>NC_000006.12:100979880-101131396 GCF_000001405.40 Homo sapiens
AACCAAACTATTACTTTATAATGCTTTCTGGTCTTCTCCCTACACATCTTCATTGTAGCTAGGAAGCAGGTTTAAGGAATTATCTTTCAAAATTTTAAAAATTTAAATTACTTATTGCCCACTGCATGTAAGTTGCTAAAGATCTAGAATTATTAAAGGCTTACTGTAGGTTTCAGTGAATGTGAAATTCAAATAAAATTTAAGTGAAAGTCTCAATTACTAAGAATGATCATAATCAGCTTGATTCATTCATTTGGTAAATATTTATTAAAAATTTTTAAGATAGTAGTTTAGATGCTGAATATATAGCAGTGAATGAAATAAACTCTTTGCCTTTGTGTAGTTTACATAATAGTCGGGGGGACAAGTAAAAAACAAATTAATATATAATGTAATGTCAACTGGTGAATATACGTGGAATGAAGAAAAGGATATCTTAATTAAAATAAGTAATATATCGAGGTCAAAATTTCTTTTTGCAACCTTACCACCAAATACAACTTCTATAAGCTACTCCTAAAACATGAACATTGCTTTGTCATGAGTTTTGTAATGGAATTTTTAGATCATAAACTTCTTGCTAAAATATACCATGCATAGGAAGAACCATACACCAAATACAACTTCTATAAGCTACTCCTGAAACATGAAGATTGCTTTGTCATGTATTGTGTAATGGAATTTTTCCATCATAAACTTCATGCTAAAATTTACCATACATAGGAAGAGGGCACAAATTATAAAAGTGCAGCTCAGTGAATTTGTTTCACTAATGAACACACTGGTGTAACCATTACTCAGATAAATAAACAGAATAATTACCAATAGCTCTTCCCAGTCACTAACATCACCTCCCAAAAGCAACCACTATTTTTACTTCATGTCACTAATTAATTCTGTATGCTTTTAAACTTTAAATAGATGAAGTTGTATAGCCTTGGTTCTCTTGTGTTTGTTCTCTTTCATTGAGATTATCAGTGTTGTTGTGTGCAACAGTGTTTTTCATTCTTATTGCTGTTTAGCTTTCCCTTGTATGAATACATTATAATTTATTAATCCATTCTACTGTTAAAAAACATTTGTATTGCTTTCAGTTTTTGAGTAATACAAATAGTGCTACAATAGCATTCTTATAAACGTCTTTTAAAAATTTTACTTTTTTTTCCTAGGGAAGATCACAGATGGCCATATAAATGTCTTTTGATGAACATATTTTTGCATCTTTGCAGTGCATATACATAGAAGTAGCAGTGCTTCATCATAGATTATGCATGTATCTAGCTTTAGTGGATATTGCCAAACTGTGATTACACTAAGTCACACTCTCAGAACAGGGTATGAGAGTTTAGTTATCCACATTCTGATGAACACTTGGTATGATTCTTTTCAATTTTATCTATTCTTATGATATCTCACAAGTTTTACTTTGCATTTCCATGAGGAGTAATGATTATGAGAACATATTCACATTTATTCTCCATTTTAGATCATCTTTTATGAAGTGTCCATATGAGTCATTTGTCTATTTTTAAAACTGAATTATCCACTTTTTCTTTATTGTTTTATTTTATTTATTTTATTTTTAACTTTTATTTTAGGTTTGGGGATACATGTGAACCTTTGTTACATAGGTAAACTTGTGTCATGGAGGTTTGTTGTACAGATTATTTCAACACCCAGATATTAACCCAGTACCCAATAGCTATCTTTTCTGTTCCTCTTCCTCCTCCCACCCTCCCTCTTCAAGTAGACGCCAGTGTCTGTTGTTTCCTTCTTTGTGTTCATAAGTTCTTATCATGCAGCTTCCACTTATAAGTGATAACTTGTGGTATTTGGTTTTCTGTTCCTGCATTAGTTTGTACTAATTAGTTTCTTACTGTTTTGTAGGAGCTTTGGGTACAAGACCTTTGTTGGCCAGATAAATATAAAATGTTTTCTTTCATTCTTTTTTTTTTTTTTTTTTTACTTTTTAAGATGCCTTTTTTTGTTGTTCTTAATTTTAAGGTAGCTCAGTTGATTCATCTTTTCTTTCATGGTTAGTGCTTTTGAGGTTCTGTTGAAAATGTCTAATATAATACAATATAGTAAAATAAAATATAATACAAATTTCCTATGTTATTTTTTGAAGCTTTTAGTGTTATACACTCCATTTAAACTTAAAATACATCTGGAAGAGGTTTTCTTGATGGTGTAATGTAAAGGTCAAGATTTATATTTTTTCTCATGTAGGGATGTCATGGCCTCAGCATCCTTTATTTAAAAATCACCCTTTTCTACTACATTTTAGTAGCTACAGTTTATTTAAAAAGCACCCTTTTCTACTATGTTGTACTACTACTACCTTGTAGTGGCCTTTGTCATAAATCAAGTGACTGTATATGTTTTGTTTGTTTCTGTATTCTCTATTCTGTTGTATTGGTCTATTTATCCATCCTTGGGTTCATATCACACTGTCTGCAGGAGCAAGTACTCCAATTTTGATCTTTTCAAAAATGAGTGTTTGCATTTAAATTTAAATATTAGTGAATATATGTATATATACACATGCACATACATGTACAGGCAGACAGACACCCATGCCCTCTAAAATTGTAATTATAATTGCATTTAGTCTATAAAATAATTTGAGAACAAACTGCATATTCACAATATTAAGCCTTCTCATCAACAAACAAGGTATTATTTAGACCTTTTTTCCGGTCTCACTATTTTTTTGCTTTCTGTACAAACATCCTCCAAATCTTTCATGAGATTTTTTCCTATGTCTTAAAGTTGTTTTTCAATGCTGTTTTGTAAAAGATACTGTTTTAAAATTTTTATTTTCTATGTGTTTATTGCTATTGTACAAATTTCAATTGATTTTCGCATGTTGAACTGGCTTTATATTTATTTAGAGACAGAGTCTTTCTCTCTCACTCAGGCTGGAGTGCAGTGGTGCGATGTTGGCTCACTGTAACCTCCACCTCCTGGGTTCAAGTGATTCTCGTGCCTCAGCCTTTCGAGTAGCTGGGATTACAGGCATGTGCCACCATGCCCAGCTAATGTTTGTTTTTTTTGTTCTGTGTTTTTGAGACAGGGGTCTCACTCTGTCGCCCAGGCTAGAGTGCAGTGGCAGGATCTCGGCTCACTGCAACCACTGCCTCCTGGGTTCCAGTGATTCTCCAGCCTCAGCCTCTCAGGTAGTTGGGACTACAGACATGAGCTACCAACACCTGGCTAATTTTTGCATTTTTTGTAGACACAGGGTTTTGCTATGTTGGCTAGGCTTGTCTCTAGCTCCTGGTCTCAAGTGATCCACTATCCTCGCCCTCCTAAAGTGCTAGGATTACAGATGTGACCTACTGGGCTCAGCCTGGATTTTCTATATATATAATCGTGCCATTTATGAATATAATCTCATTTCTCCCTTTCCAGTTCTTATTCCTTTTACACGTCTTATTGAGCATACTAGGCCCTTTAGAGTATGTAGTTATAGCCTTGTATTAGTCTGTTTTCACAATGCTATAAATAAATACCTGAGACTGGGTAATTTATAGAGAAAAGAGGTTTAATTGACTCAGTTCCCCATGGCTAGGGAGGCCTCGGGAAACTTACAATCATGGTGGAAGGTGAAGGGGAAGCAAGCTTGGGCCTTTTCACATGGCAGCAGGAGAGAGTGAATGAGTGCAGGAAAAACTGCCATTTATAAAACCAACAGATCTTTTGAGAACTCACTTACTATCAGGAGAACAGCATGGGGGAACCACTCCCATGATCCAGTAACCTTCCAGAAGGTCCCTCCCCCAACAGGTGGAGATTACAATTCAAGATGAGATTTGGGTGGGGACACAGAGCCAGACTGTATCAACCCTGTAATATTTCACTGTTTAACATGATGTTTCCTTTAGGTTTCTTTAGAAGCATATAACCAGATAAAATTAATTTAGAACATTACCAAACTTTAAAGAAAAGATCCAGAAATGTTTTTGCAGCATTTATTGAGATAATCATATGTGACTGCACCTTCATTTTTCCCTCTTAATGTGGGGAATTACATTGATGTTTCAATTTAAAACCGAACTTTCATTCCTGAAATAAATCCAACTTGCTCTCAATGTATTGTGCTTTTTGCATAATTTAAATTTGAATTGCTAATATTTTGTTAATGATATTTGCATCTATATTTATATGAGTGATAAAACTATAATTCTCCTTTCTTGTAATACCTTTGTCACATTTTGCAGGCAGTATGGATTTGGATATTGTTTTCATAATCCAGTCTGTCAATTTTAATCTTTTTGTTAGATTATTTAGTCTGTTTACATTTAATGTAATTACTGATATATTTGGATATACAAATATAAATATACATATATATGTACTCTTGCTATTTTTCATTTGTGCCATCTGTTCTCTGGTAAAACTCTACCTCCTGTTCTTGATCTTCTTGAGCATATTAATTACAATTATTTTATTTATTTATTTTTAAACATTTTAATTTTAATTTTTTTTGACACAGAGTCTTACTGTCTCCCAGGCTGGAGTACAGTGGAGCAATCTGGGCTCACTGCAACCTCCACCTTCCGGGTTCAAGCGATTCTGTTGTCTCAGCCTCCCGAGTAGCTGGGATTACAAGCACATGCCATCATGCCAGGCTAATTGTTTTTGTATTTCTAGTAGAGAGGGGGTTTCACTGTGTGTGCCAGGCTGGCCTTGAACTCCCGACTTCAAGTGATCCACCTGCTCGGACTCCCAAAGTGCTGTGATTAGAGACATGAGCCACTGCACCTGACCACAATTATTTTAAATTCAATTTTTAATAACTCCAAAATATGAATCAACTATGAATCCCTTTCTATTAAATTACTTTCCCTATTCTTTTGTCTTCCCTTTTGGTTCTGGTAATTTTTGATTGGCTGCTAGATTTTTTGCATTAAAAAGTTTTAAAGGCAGGGCACAGTGGCTCATGCCTGTAATCCCAGCACTCTGGGAGGCAGAGGCAGGTGGATGACGAGGTCAGGAGATTGAGACCATCCTGGCCAACAAGGTGAAATCCTGTCTCTACTAAAAATACAAAAATTAGCCGGGTGTGGTGGCGCGTGCCTGTAGTCCCAGCTACTCGGGAGGCTGAGGCAGAAGAATTGCTTGAACCTGGGAGGCGGAGGTTGCAGTGAGCCGAGACTGTGCCACTGCACTCCAGCCTGGTGACAGAGCAAGACTCCATCTCAACAAAAAAAAAGTAAAGATTTGGGTGATACTATATTTCTCTAAATGGGCCTTAACTTGTCCTCTGGAAAACAGCTAGGTAGAAGCAAATCACCTCAATTTAATAAGAGAACAAGGTGTCTTAAGGTAAGTTCAACGTTTGTAAAACTCTGTTTACTTCTGGGACATATCTCTCTAGGGGTCCCCAGATAAAGTCTGTGATGTTTGCTGGCCTTTCTTTCTTAGGGCAATCTACAAAAAACTTTGTTCTACTTTATGGTGACTTTCTACTTAGCTTCTCACCATGCACAGCTTAAGATTTGGCAAATATCTTTTTTTTTTTTTTTTTTTTTTTTTTTTTTTTTTTGAGACTGAGTTTCACTCTTGTTGCTCAGGCTAGAGTGCAATGGCGCGATCTCGGCTCACTGCAGCCTCCGCCTCCCGGGTTCAAGTGATTCTCCTGCCTCAGCCTCCGGAGTAGCTGGGATTACAAGTATGCACCACTATGCCCGGCTTATTTTGTATTTTTAGTAGAGACAGAGTTTCTCCATGTTGGTCAGGCTGGTCTCGAATTCCCAACCTCAGGTGATCCGCCCACCTTGGCCTTCCAAAGTGCTGGGATTACAGGCATGAGCCACCACGCTCGGCCTAAGATTTGTCAGATATCTTGAAGGGAGAATTAGTGTACATGTCGGGCTCATTTCTTCTCCTCAGATTCTTGTTTTCTTAAGTCCTGGCTGCCTGATCAGGCTTAAACTCAAATTCTTTATTTCCCCACCTCCTTGAGACCATTGAAAACTTTACTCATCCACTAATATTTTCTTCTTTATTGACCAGCCCCAGTGTCCTAAAGATTTGGCAAATGCCTAAAGGGAAAAATTGATACACAAGATATCAAGTTCATGAACACGAAGTACCAACAGACGCTGGGGTCTACTTGAGGGTGAAGGGTGGGAGGAGGGAGAGGAGCAGAAAAAATAACTATTAGATATTAGGCTTCATAACTGAAATATGAAATAATCTGTGCAACAAACCTCTATGACGTGAGTTTACCTATGTAACAAACCTTCACATGTACCCCTGAACCTCAAATAAAAGTTAAAAAAATCTTTTAAAAAATGTCGAGTTCACTCTAAGAAGCTTCTTGTTTCTTTGGCTTCTTGTCCCCTTGAGTCTTGGCTGATTTGAATCTCTCCAATACCTTGAAAATGGTTTTCATTTTATGTTTTATTCAGCTTTTCTAGTTGTTTTTGGTGTGAGTGTTGATTTGCTAGTAGCTACTTTGTCATAGCTAAAAATGGAAGTTGTAGTGGCGTTTTCTTTATAGAAAAATGATCAAATGACAGATGGTCATTAACCTAGTACTTAGAAAAAATACCAGAGAAATATCTTAATTAAATCTTAAACAAAATTAAAAATAAAGGATTGAATAGCTGAAGACTGAGATATTAAGCCAAAGAAAGTGTAATATAGGTCATAATTCATAAAAAATATGGAGGAGATGAAGATTATATTCTTCCAATATGAGAATATTAGACTGCTATCAAATATAAACATTAACAAAAGAGGTTGAGTAGTTTGTTAATGATCTAATCAAATTTAACAGACTTTTTTTTCCCAATGTCTTTTGTGAGAAAGGCTTTCATTTTCTTGCTCTTGAACAAGAGCTACCAATTATGGCTGTTGATTTTATTTTATCTGTTTTCAATGAGAAAAAAATCACAACTTTTTCTGTAGTGAGTTGTCAGGGGAATGCATGTTTCTAACTGCAAGAAAAGCAAGACAGTTCCTACTATAGAGTGTCCTGACACCAGTTTGGGTAACATGCTTTTTCAGACCTGTGAAGAACAGATAAAAATAAAATCACAACCTCAATGAGGAGCAATGTAAGTTTGAGAGAAATTTGAACAGGGTCAGCTGTTATAGCTCATATATATAATGGAATATTACAGACTTACATAACAGAGAAACAGAAAATAGAAAACAGTAATGTACATCAGGGCCAGCCTTCATAACCCCCAGATGATTTTACTCTCTGCTGGCTGTAGATCCCCTGAGGCTGTGTGTCCTACAGGCTTTGGGACTAAGAGGAGTTATGCTTTTGCAGGAGGGAGATACCAGTAAGTCACCTAATTATGATAAGTATTTCTGCATGTAGCTTTTAATAGTATCTTTAAATACTGCTTTGTATATGCAGGGACTGAGATGCAAAGATATGTGAGACTGATTACCATCTAACGAGCATGTAAATATGGAGAGATTTTCTCCAGTCTGGTGGGTGACTTAAGGTAATAATAGATTATGAAGAATGGAGGGGCCAATACAACCTGAAGTTTAAGAAAAGTGTTTAATAAAAGATGGAGCATAATTTTCTAACCTACTATATCAGTTGAGTCTTGTTCAGCAAGCATCTATTGAGCATTTATTATGTACCAGATATTGTATTTTGTGCTGCATACAAAGACTAATAATTTGTGGTTGGGTGTACCTTGAAGAGTGGTTTCTCAGCCTCGATATTGTCGAAACTTTGGGCCAAATATTTTTCTAGTGGGAGGCTGTCTAGAGCATTGTAAAATGTTCAGCAGCATCACAGGCCTCTACCCAGTAAATTCTAATAGCACTTTCCTGCTAGTTGTGACAACCAAAAGTATCTCTAGACATTGCCAAATGTGCCCCAGAGGGCAAAATAATCCTCGGTTGAGAACCGTTGCCTTAAAGAAAGTTAAATCAAGCGGAAGATACTGAGGAGTAAACAAATAATTTAAATAATGCAAAAAGTGTGGTGAATGGGGAATGCAAATGTGCTTTGGGAGCAAAGAAGAGGGATAAAAAATAATTAACTGTTTTAGATCCAGGATGGAATGCAGAGAGGGTTATTGGAGGAGTATGAATTGATTTTGAAGTGTAAGAGAGATTTAGGTCTTTCACAAATGAGAATCAGTATATGTAACAAGAAGCAGAATGAAACCTGAAATCAAACTATCTGGATTCAAACTCAGCTCCATTTTTAGCTGGATAAATTTGGACAAGTTACTTTTTCCCCCAACATTCCCTCAGAAAATTAGAATATCTCCCTCAAAGTTTGTTGCACAAATGGAATTAAAGAACCATGTGATGTGCTTAGCTCACCACATGTAATGAGCACTCAATAGCTATTGAATAGATATTATTATTGTTGTTGTCATGTTGTTAATAACCTTCCAGAAATTCTCTCAAAAATATTTATTCTAAAAGGATATAGTAAATGTCTGCTGCTATTGCACCCAAATCCAAATCGATGTGCAGATAAGTCCCCAAGCTCAAAGTTACATAGTCTTATTTAGGGTTGTGCCTGCATGCGTGTTTATGTTTTCAGCTGCGTAGTTTTTCCAAAGGAAAGCCATTTAGAAAGGAGCATTTGCCACAGAATTCAGTTGAGAATCCTGGCTACAGGCAAGAATCCTATAAAACTGACTGGAGAGGTTTTACATGTGAATTTGAAAGAAATGCTCTCTTGTTTTTATAGCATACTCCTTAAATAGAGGGATTAAAGAAGTATTCTAAAGAATCTGAAAATTACTAAATAGGGCTTGAATGCAAAATTGGAAGGAGAAATGCAGAGACTCAGCAAGCACATTTACTAAGTGAGACTTGACCATATGTTGCCTTCAGGACATTTATAATCACTGAGCCAGACAAAATTCACCTTGTACTCAGTTACCCAAAACAAGCTTTCTGAGTATTTCTGGTTTTGTCACTTTTAGCTGAAATGTGGCCAATTACTGTTTAAGGGACCAAAGGAGATACATCTTCCTTCTGTGACTAAGACCTATGAATTACAATATGACTACACTGGGAATTACATTATGAATTACAGTGTGAATTACACTATGCAGACTATCTGGGAAAACTAAGTATTTTATACCACTGAGCAGCATGAAAAATCTGGAACCATAAACAAATGACATGGTATCTAATATGTATAAGGTCTAGATATATGTGCCCTTTGGCCTACTGGATTTTCTCCATGAGCAAGAGCTACTCCGTTTCTCTATTTATAGTTCTTAGATAGACTACTATTTTACTACTAGGAATAAGGTAGGTGGATTATTTTCCAATAAATGACATGCTTTTATTAAATATGATTAATCCATTACAGAATGGATCTTTATCAGTTTGCATATTATTCCCATTTTGCATATTATGTCCTCCCATCTGGAGGCCAGTCATTGAAAGATTGAACAGTCTTGAAGTGGGTTGTTCCTGTTTATCTTACGGTCTAATTAAGCTCTTAGAAGAGCTACGAAAGGTGACAGACACATTAATTAAATGCTTTGGATATTACCAATATCTTTCTATGATGTGACAAGCAGGATTGCCTCAAAATAACCCTGGCAGATTATAAGTGACTATACCCAAACTCAGCTTTCTATGGTTAGTTTCCCAAGGGATTGATGACTTCTCTCCCCAGCTTCCTATGAGCTGAAGGTCTCCAGCTTCTTGCTTTCTTATACAACTCTATACACAGCTGGAACCTCCAATCTGGACTCCTCTGCTTCAGCCCTGTGCTGTTCAATATGGTAGCCACTAGCCACATATGACTGTAGAGCACTTGAACTGAAGCTAGTCTAAACTGAGATTGCTGAAAGTGTAAAATACACACTGTATTTCAAAGACTTTGCATGAAAAATATAAAGTATCTCAATAATTATTTAAAATTGGCTACATGCTAAAATGATTACATTTGAATATATTGGGTTAAATAAACTAGAGTATCAAAATTAATTTTATCTGCTTTTAAAGTGTGGCTACTAGAAAATTTAAAGTCATGTTTGTGGCTTGTGTTAAGTTTCTATTGGATAGTGGTGCTATATGTAGTCTGTTTAGTTTTTATCAATACTATTGCTCTCACCTTGTCCTACAAGAAAAGAAAGCAATAGAAGTCATTGTCCTGAACACAGACCCATACTATATGTTCAGCAGAGAGCCTTGATAGAGGTAAGACTCTTTGAGTAAGCTTTATGCCTTTCTCTTGTGTTTGCTTTTGTGGATCAGCTTACTCCTTTCAAGGCTTTTTTTTTCCTCTTCATCGTTTTCTGAAGAGCAGATTGAAGGTAGCCTTCATGCTGCAGCTGGTTTAGCTCTACTACTAAGGCATCACTCTTCTGGAACCTTATCTAATCCTCTGGATGTTTAAAAACACTTCTCCACACTGACTGTTTGGAACTAGAATGTCTCCCAGCCCTGCCTGAGCCTTTAAACTTGTTCAGTTGGATCTTGATAGCTTTTTACATTACCCTATCCATGCACAGCTGGTTATTTAGTAGTGGACTCAAGGAATTCCTGTGCAGATTACAGGATCTCTTTTTCTGCATATCTTCCTTCTCTATGGGAGTTTGTACCACAAATTCCAACCACCACACTCTCCTCAAACTCCGATTTCTAGATTCTCAATTCAGTGAGCCATCCATGCTCTGTTTGGTTAAATCATTCTTGTGTTGTAGCCTTGAAAATGACTCTACATGGAAAGCTGTGGCAATAGTCAGTCCTATGTCATTTATTTTTCTTTCCTCTGGACTCACAGTCCTCTGTTGCCTTTATTTTAATCTCTGGAAACATCCGTTTCATATAATTGGTCCAGGTTTCCAGTTGTTTTATGGTGGCAGGGAAAGTTCAGTACCTAATCCATCACGGTACAACCAGAAGTTCAATTAAGAATTTTAATTCAGTATTTCCTTGTTAATTGTTAGTTTTACATCCTTTTATTTTTCTTTAGTAGTTGCTATATATTTTATAGCCTGCAACCTTGGCTTAAAAGGTACAATATAAATTTGTTGTTTTATTACTTCTTGGGAAATGCAAGAGTCTTAGAACATTTAATGTAGTCTCTACTAGGCTTTTGTGCTATTTCTATTCTGTGTTTATATAACACACATATGCACATACACACACACAACATCAAGACCTCATTTTTTAAAATACAGGCAACTTTTATTTATATTTGTTTACATATTTACTTTTTCCATCAGTCTTCTTTTTTTTTTTATTGCCATGCTTCCATCTACGATTATGATTCTTCTGCCTGAAAACCTCATGTTGGTATCTCTTTAGTATAGGTCTGCTGGAGTATAATCCTCTGTTTTTATTTATTTGAATATGTTTTTATTTCACCTTCTTTTTTTGAGTAAATTTTTGACTGGATATAGAAATTCTAGCTTGGCAGTTATTTTCTTTCAACATTTTGAAGATATTTTTTGGCTTCTGCTTTTTTGTTGTTGTTGAGAAGCCAGCTTTCTTCAATCTTATTTTTGATTCTTTAGAAGTAATGCTTCTTTTGTCAGATGGATAGATTGCAAAAATTGTCTCCCATTCCATAGGTTGCCTGTTCACTCTGAAGATAGTTTCTTTTGCTGTGCAGAAGCTCTTAAGTTTAACTAGATCCCATTTGTCAATTTTGGCTTTTGTTGCCATTGCTTTTGGTGTTTTAGTCCTGAAGTGTTTGCCCAAGCCTGTGTCCTGAATGGTATTGCCTAGGTTTTCTTCTAGGGTTTTTATGGTTTTAGGTCTTATGTTTTAAGTCTTTAATCCATCTTGAGTTAACTTTCGTAAAAGGTGTAAGGAAGGGATCCAGTTTGAGTTTTCTGCATATGGCTAGCCAGTTTTCCCAATACCATTTATAAAATAAGGAATCCTTTCCCCATTGCTGTTTTTGTCAGGTTTGTCAAAGATCAGATGGTTGTAGATGTGTGGCATTATTTCTGAGGCCTCTGTTCTGTTCCATTGATCTATATATCTGTTTTGGTACCAGTACCATGCTGTTTTGGTTACTTTAGCCTTGTAGTATAGTTTGAAGTCAGGTAGTGTGATGCCTCCAGCATTGTTCTTTTTGCTTAGGATTGTCTTGGTTATATGGGCTCTTTTTTGGTTCCATATGAAATTTAAAGTAGTTTTTTCTAATTCTGTGAAGTCCATAATCTACGAGGAGCTTATACAATTTACAAGAACAAAACAACCCCATCAAAAAAGTGGGTGAAGGTTATGAACAGACACTTCTCAAAAGAAGACATTTATGTGGCCAACAAACATAGGAGAAAAAGCTCATCATCACTGATCATTAAAGAAATGCAAATCAAAATCACAATGAGATACCATTCTCATGCCAGTTAGAATGGTGATCATTAAAAAGTCAGGAAACAACAGATGCTAGAGAGGATGTGGAGAAATAGGAAGGCTTTTACACTGTTGGTGGGAGTGTAAACTAGTTCAACCATTGTGGAAGACAGTATGGCGATTCCTCAAGGGCCTAGAACCAGAAATACCATTTGACCCAGCAATCTCATTACTGGGTATATTTCTAAAGGATTATACATCATTCTACTAGAAAGACACATGCACCCATATGTTTCTTGCAGCACTGTTCACAATAGCAAAGACTTGGAACCAACCCAAATGCCCATCAATGATAGACTGGATTAAGAAAATGTGGCACATATATACCATGGAATACTATGCAGCCATAAAAAAGGATTAGTTCATGTCCTTTGCAGGGACATGGATAAAGGTGGAAACCATCATTCTCAGAAAACTAACACAGGAACAGAAAACCAAACACCACATGTTCTCACTCGTAAGTGGTAGTTGAACAATGAGAACATGTGGACATAGGGAGGGGACATCACACACCAGGGCCTTTCGGGGGTTGGGGGGCTAGGGGAGGGATAGCATTAGGAGAAATACCTAATGTAGATGCTGGGTTGATGGGTGCAGCAAACCACCATGGCATGTGTATACCTATGTAACAAACTTGCACATTCTGCACATGTATCCCAGGACTTGAAGCATTAAAAAAACAAAAAGAAGAAGTAATACTTCCTATTCTCTCATGCTGTTTTAAAGATTGTCTCTTTATCTTTTATTTTTTACAGTTTTGTTATTGTATGTCTGGATGTGGTTTTCTTTGTATTTTTCCTGTTTGGGAATTACAGTGCATCTTGTACCTGCGCCTTAATATTTTTCATTAGTTTAGAAAACTTCTGGTCATTAGCTCTTGAAATATTGCTCTGCTCCATTCCTCACTCCTCTTGCTGAGATTTCAAGATATGTTAGACACTTTTACCAAGCCCCAAATGTTTCTTAAGCAGTATCCTGTATTTTCCATTATTTTTTAGTTTTCTTCTTTAATATGGGTGCTTTCTTTTGACTTACATAGACTTCCATTGTGAATTACAATTTGTAGAGGTAACATGAGGTTTGAAATGATGACCTCTTTCTCCTGAAAGAATTTACTTTTGCTTCTTGCAGGAAGTTAGGGTAGGATAGGGCATTTTAAACAGAGATCAAGTTGATTTAAAGCTGGAGTTTTGCCTTTGTGAACACTCTTTAGTCAGAGGTTGTTTTTTTGATTTTCCCATCTCAAGGTTTTCCTTTGGTCTTTTAGTTTTCCCAGCTGAAGGCCTTCAGTATTTTAACCTGTGTCTCTTCTTGGCAGGCCCTGAATGTAGTTTTTGTGTCTTTACCCCTGTGAAAATGCTGAGTGCTCTGCTTAGATTCTTTTTTTCTCATCTAAAGCTTTCAAACTAGCTAATGCCTGCAGGGTAAGAGAGGTTCCCAACATTTGCCTCACCTCTCTGGGCTTCGCTTTTTCTCTGGAATCATGTTTCTTTAGGTTGTAATTGCTTTGGTAGCTCTCCAGTGACTTCAAAGAGATGACTTTTATGTTTATTCTTGCCTTTCAGATTATTTTTGGTGAGTGTGTAGTCTTGAACAGCTAGTTCATAACTGGCTGGGAAAAGAGATTCCCTATGGGTTGGAATTAGAAGGGTGTTGTATAGAACCTGTCTTCTCCAAACAGAAAGGATGCTCCATGAGGGCTGCACTTCTGTCCTTCAGCTCTACTAGACTGTTAGCTATTGTTCAGATTGGCCAGACTTTCTTCTGGCTCAGATCCATTGTATTTGCTATTTCCTATACCTGGAATGCTCTTGTTGTTTCTCTTCATTTAACAAACTCACACTCATCTTGCAAATCTTAGACTAAACATCATTTCATAGTGAAGCCTTCCTTCACCTCCCAGACTAGGTTAGATTCCCCTGAATTTTTCTCTTTCAGTAATTTGCACACTTAGAATTATGAAATTAATTATGATTTAATGTCTGTCTTATCCAGACAGGAATTCAGTCTGCTTCTCAAGATTGTGCCAGCACAATGCCAGTCACGTAGTAGATGTTCCAAAAATAAATATAATCTGCACTGACATGCTTTAAGCTAGACTAATATTTTCTAAAATGTGTTCTATGACAAAGATGTTCTAAGTTGAGATAACCTTTGGAAAAACTTCATTGTATAACTGCCTTGGGGAATATCATAATAGACAATAACATATATTTAAAACTTAGAAATTCCATGTTAAACAAAGCTGCTTGACTTTGCTTATTCCTGAGTTTAACATTTAAAAGATAAATATTAATTCTGCAGAATATACTTCAAAAATCATTTGGTTAGATATTTTCTAGAAATGGAAACTCAGAGCATTTTTCAGTTTTAGGAAAAACAAACTTCATTCCAGAATGAGTCTATATATTGCAAAATCTGGATGAGTGAAATCAAAATCAAAGAGGCTTGAAGGACAACTCCATTCCAGCAATATGTGCAGGACTAGAGTTAAGCTGACATGGACAAAAGATTTTCTGCCTCCAGTTTACTGCAATCTGTATAGCTCCGGAAATTGCACAAAACAGGAAGGTTTTAAGCACTGATTTCAAGGGACTGTCCTCATGAGCTGAAGTATTGTATATTGAATGGCCTATTTCAGCCACATTCTCTTTTTTGCAGTCAGGTAGCCCCAGCAAATACGTTGCATTTGCCAGACTGATGTTGACAATTAACTAGCCCTTGCATCAAAGAAGAATGATATGAGAAGTAAAATTAGATGGAAGCAGCATTTCAACTGGTAAATAAAACAATTTTCTTTTCAGAGAATTCCCAGTAGCTAATTGTAAATTGAAAATTGTTTCAACATTAAGTAATAACTAATTTACATTAATTCCTATTGGCTTTCCCTCTTCTCTTTCTTTCCCTCTGGCTCTTTCCTTCATTTAATGAATTTGGAATTAATCACTAGAAATAAACCATGATTATACTCACATCTGTATAACTGTTACTTCTCTAACCCTTCAGCTATTTTTCTTCTCCTTCAAAATATATTTGCCCCTTAAGATTTTATGCTAAATCTCCTCTCCTACCCTCTCTTTCTCTCTTCTATTTCATGCATCCCTTGTCCCTTTCAATCCACATTGTTCTTTTCCTCTTTATTACAAATATCTCTTTGACTCCTACTTTTCAGAAATAGTATTAGCTTTTATGCATCACGGAATTGTGGGGGATGTAAACATGATGTGGGGCATAGTTGGAACAGCAAAATTAAGCTGAACACAAATAAAAAGTGTAATAGAATTAATTTGAACCTCACACTTTTTCCATTTTCTCCTGTTTACATAGACTATACCCTTTAGGATTTCTAACAGTATCTGGCTTCAGGATGCTGCCTGCTCTTGGCTTTTGACTCAGCCTTGCCCTATTATTATATTTCCATTCAGGTATTTTCACACAGGGAGTCTATGGCACCATTTATCAGCTGGTGGATGAATGTCAAATCTGTGTCTTCATCCATGACAACTGGATATCAGTCTAACCTATCTTTTGGATATGTTTACATAGTTATTCTAATAGTATCTCAGATTTATTATGTCCAAACTTTAAGTGAATATCCATAATACTTTCAGCTGAGTATTTGACAAGGTAGAGAATTCCAGTTTTCTTTCTTCTTACATCAAACATACTTGTTCCCATTATTCTCTCCATTATTTTGTGAATGATACCATTATTTTATGAATGATACATGGTGTCATTAATAAATAAATCCAGCACACAATTTGTATTTTTCTCCCAATTTTTTTGAACAAATATTTAACTGAATCTTCTGTTTTAAGAACAAATGTTGGGATTCTATACTTAGGAGGTCAGTTATGCTCCCCATAACTTTGCTGTTTAATGGAGATTCTGGCAGAGAAACAAGTACTAGAGTAACAATGGTAAGCACAGGGTACTGTGGGAGCATAGAAGAGGACACTTACCCAGCATGGGAGAGTCACAGAAGATTCCCTAGAGGAGATGACTAGTATCTCCAGTATCTCAAGTTACCAAACACAAGTAAAAATTATTTCCAGAGAAAGTGAGGGCAGTGAATGGTGGCAAGAAGAGCTTTTCAAGGAGTAGGAGAAATATGTGAAGATCTGAATACACCCCCATCCTACCCTTTCTTTAACAGGGAAAGAAGTGGGGACATGAACAGGGTACTGCACAGGTCAAGATAGTCCCTGAGTACCTAGTTAAAGAGTACACATCTTGAGGGAAGAACATCAGTGAATGGTTGGCATGAGGCAGGGCTGTGTGACTGGTTCTGTCCAATGGGCTTTGAGGGTGAGTGACAGTGAAAAGTCACTGACTATGCTATTTTTCAGTCTTTCTTCAACTGCCATATCAAGTAAGGATGTGGGTTTCAGATGGTACAGCTGCAGGAAGGTAGAGACCCCACTGTCCTGTGCTGCTCAGTCACTGTACAAACATCACTTACCCTGGAGGGTGTCTGACATGGAGCAGACAGCCTTACTGAGATTTTGGGATCACTTGTTACCAGAGCAGAATACTGACTGTCTAATTGATATTCATTCATAGAAAGATATTTCCTTATACCCAATCTAAAATTGCTAGCCTCTTTTCAGTCATCGTCACATAATTCAAAGCAATTATCACCATATGAAACAATCTTTCATTTGTTTATTTTTATTGTCTGCATTTATCTTCTATAATATGAACTCTGCAAAGTAATGAACTGTCTGTCTTGTATTCCAGAGCTTAGAACAATGTGTGGCACATAACATAAAAAAAGACCATTTCAAACTGAGGATACTTTTGCAGAAAAAATGAGAAAAGGATGTAGTACATAACCATTTTGTGAATTGCTTACAGAAAGAGAAATTTAATTTTATTTCTTACACAGTATGCAAAATATGGAAGGAGAGAGTGAAAGGCTTTATATAGATTATTTTAGTCAGAAACAGAGGCCTGGGCACCAATTTGGGTGTGAAGATAAGAATAAGGGAGTTCAGAATTCAATTAACTTGAATCATTGCTGTTGTCATTACTGATTTTACACCTTGTGATAGCAATAACTTATGGTGGCAGATTTCAGAACTTCCCCTGGTATTTTATGGTTTGTGTGTATGTCTTTCAGAGGCCCTTCTGTTATTTGTTTCACACAAGTACATTTTCATTCCTGATTTCTGTTAGTGATAGGAATACTGCCCTATTGCTCTTATTGATTTCCCCAAATTAAGATATAAAGTTACCATGACAGACAACAGCATCTTATAGCTTGAGATTAGATGATGCTGAATAAAGAAACATCTTAGTTTCTGAATCACAGATGATGAATTTTGGAACAAAATATAAGGCTGCTAAGCAAAACAAATTAGTGGCATGCCAGTGATCACTAAGAGTATGATGAATACTCATTGAAACAGTCTATAAGATTTAGCCTTTAAAGTCTAACAAACTTAGAGTTCTCTTGCTGGTTTTCTATCATTATATGAATAAAGTGGAGGTTATAACAGCCTCAAAATCATAAGGTTCTAATGGGAGATTAAATGGATAACTCATCTGAAGCACTTAGCATGATGATTGGCACTTAGTAAGCACTCTTGGAAAGCCTTCATTTTCCCCTTTTATCTTCTTCTTTTACTTTTATTTTTGCCCAAGTCCCCACAGCTGGTGAAACAGCCTACATTCTTATCTAGTATATTTTGAATCCAGACTCCTGTGCTTTTTGTATTGTGCAATTCTGCAGATTACTTGTGTTACCAATTATACAAACAAATAAGTGGACACTTTAAAAAATCTTATGAGGTGGCTTCATAATATTTTCATTGAAATATTGTGTTAATGTTTTATTTTGTTGTATTTTTTTCTTCTCAGCATACTGTGTCAACTTCTTCTAACAAGAGCATATCTCTTTTCTTTGAGACCCATTCCTTTCCCACAACCCATTACATTCGATCTTGTGGGACTGCTGGTTTCAGCATCTTGGCCCAATAGTCACGATGTGATCATGTGAGCATAAGATCTGTCATAGGGCTATGATCTCCTGGATGCAATGGTGATTCCAACAGTTGGATGTGTGACTCAAGTTGAGGTGTTGTGATAAAGAGTTTGACTGCATGTTTTAGTTTTGACTGTAACCACTTTTAAGCCTCACTCCTCTGTCTTCCCTTCTGCTTCTGGGAAAGCTGATAATAAAAAAGCCAGTATTCTCTCCTTTGGTGATGGTGGATGATTCAAGCCACATAAGCCCCTGCCCACGCTTGGGAATCCTCACCCAGACCCCCACCTCCTAACCACAATACAAGCCTTAGATCAGTTGCCTTTTCTTTTCTAAACCCAGCTTGGAAAGTCTATCCTGCTTTCCTAGAAAACTTCATTATATAAGTAGTAACCCATTTTAATGCCTTCATGGTGCATGTGTGGTGTCATCAGTTTTGACATCTGATTCAAACTTTGAGTAAGGATCCATCCTGCTTCTGAAAAATGGCAATAATGGATATTATGTGGATCTCTTTTTTCACTTGAATTGTGAGCTCTAATGATATGACCCTGAGGTGCCAGTCACCATATCCCTCACAACATGAACAGGTCTGAGAGAACAGAGTCAACACCCAGAGAGAAGCAGAGTCAGTGAGAGTGTCTTGATGTCACGTGCCTGTTCTAGGGTCCACTCCACACTTCCCAGTTACAGATGCCAAAAATTTCCCCTTCATAGCTTAAGGTAGTTTTCATGGTTCCAGTAACTTTCAACAAAAAGAATCCAGACTTACAAGGAGATTATTTAGGAAAAATATCTTAACAGGCTTTAGAAATACAGGTGAGACCCCAAGACTCTGAGCATTGAAGAAAGTTTTAGAAAAGAAGATTGAGTTGCTCTCTATGAGGCAAGGAAAGGCTTTTTTTTTTTTTTTTTTTTTTTTGCTTTTGTTGCATTGGAATATTAAGAAAGACAAGGGAAGTGTGCAACATGGGGGAGATGCCAGGAGAGATATGTGTGAGCACAGAGAGTGGAAGGGCCCTTGGAGGAAAGGAATGTCTAGAAAGAATCTTAAAATTGTTAGGTGACTCCTTCTCATGATCCTGACCTTCAGTAAGGTGTTCTGTTCTTAATAATGCAGATGTTGCTTCTGTGGAAATGCAAGAAGTGGCTGTTGAAATTACATTTGTTTTGCTAAGAAGCAAAACAGAGACTCCACCTCTAAGAATGCAGAGGAGGCCTCCATTAGTTCACTGGCAACCTGAGAAAGCCTTTCAGCTTGCGCAGGCTTCGGAATAGAGGTGGGACTTTGGTGACAATTTTACTTAGAGTTTAAAGGGCAGAGATTTCATGCTGACAACTGAATTATATACAGTTTGGAGTGAATAAGAACAAATCTGATTTGTAGACAACATTATTCGAATAAGTCACTGTGAAAACTGTACTTTTTTTCTCAAACCTTATGGGTACCATTTAGTAATTTATTACTGTGCATTAGTAGTAATGTGGTGACTTATAAAAGTTCATTTTCTTTATATGCCTAATTTATGTCCATGTCATAACCTAGGTACTGGGGAAAATTCACTCATTATATGCTCAAAAATAGATTTTTAAAAAGCAACACGGGCAAAATCTATTAAAAACAGATTTTTTAAAAAGCCCGTAATTTTAGTTTTGTTTTAATTCATTGATATTGATCTAAACTAAAGGTTCATTAATTTAGCATTGCCATATTTTTGCTAAGTAGAATATTATAGTACTTGTATTAACTCAGTATATCCCAAGAATTTTTCGAAGTTTTTAAATAAGTAATCATAGTTATTTATGTGGGCTTGTAAATTAATGTTTTTTTAAAATTTTGAATAAAAAGTACTTAATAAGCATATAGAATTAGAATTCTAGAGCTGGAAGGGGCCTTAAATTATACGTTCATTCTTAAATTTAAATTGTTCATTCTGTTCCCTTAATTTATACGTGACTAATTGAGACCCAGAAAAACTGAGTGGCTTGCTCAAACCATACACGTGGAATTGAAACCAGAACTGCAGACACTTGGTTCTTGGTCAAGTCTTGTTTCCAACATGGCATTTTCTCCATCTATAAAATGAAGGAGATGGACTACATAATTTTTATGGTTCTTTTCTCCTCTAATATTATCCATTTAAAAATCTAATGATTTAGGTAGTTTCTATATTTTTATGTAAACTTCCAAGTAACTGGGAACAAAAGCTACTTATCAGAACACATGGAGCTGAAATGTGTCTTGTGCATAGTGGCTCTCATAGTGGCTCTCAACATGTTTATCAGAACACGTGGAGCTGAAATGTGTCTTGTGCATAGTGGCTCTCAACACGTTTATGTAATCCAGGAAATATCATGCAGCTGTTAGTCATTCGATTGCTTATTATGAAATAGAACACTTTGTCTAGTTGCTCTCACCTGCCATTATCTTAGCAGTTTGTGTAAGGGACCACACTTAAGAAATAAACACTTTCCACATGAGAAAGGAGGTGTAAAATCAGGCTCCATAATCAAACACCAAGGTTTTATTGCACTCTTGCTGTATATTTAGTATGGTGCCAGAGATAGGACTGGGTAAAAAAATGTGTAAGGCACCACACTCAATAGTGTCTTACCCCAGGGGAGGAGATAGAGCTATTTTATATATTTTTTTAAAACCCAGAAAAATTATATGCTATGTTATGTGCTTCTGACTCCACGTGAAATAAGAATTCCAGGAAGAAAAAATCATCTTCTTTATAGCTCCCTATTTCTTTATACTTAAGCTGTATTTTTCACACTTTGGAAATAAAGTTTGGATAGTTGGCATGAGCTACTTAGGGTTTTAAAAACCAAGGTGAGGAATTCTGACCTGATGAGAAAAATAAAAGAAGCCACTAATATATGTGTGTATAGGCAGGTGAGGTGATGGAAATGCAGTTTTAAAATTAGTGTCAGGCAGTGGGTATGCAAGCTGAACTGCAGAGAGGAAGTGTGAATGAAGGAAATAAAAGCAGTTTCAGCAATCCTAGATGATGTAATGTGGATGTGTTAAGATATGTAATGCTGATTGCTGAAACAACTTCAAAAGTCAGTGGCTTAACACAATAAAGTATTATTCCTCTCTCATGTTGCAGTCCCATATGGATTAGTGGGAGGTTTGGTGCAATAAAATCATTTAGGATCTTACGTAATTTACAGACTGCTATTTTGACTTTTTTTTTTTTTTTTTTGAGATGGAGTCTCTCTCTGTTGCTCAGGCTGGAGTGCAATGGCTTGATCTCCGCTCACTGCAGCTTCTGCCTCCCGGGTTCGAGTGATTCTCCTGCCTCAACCTCCCAAGTAGCTGGGACTCCATGCCTGGCTAATTTTTTAGCATTTTTAACAGATACGGAGTTTCACCATGCTGGTCAGGCTGGCCTTGAACTCCTGACCTCAAGTAATCCACCTGCCTCAGCCTCCCAAAGTGCTGGGATTACAGGCATGACCCACCGTGGCCAGCCTGTTTTGACATTTTAAACTTAGTTTTCAAGTTCACATTAGATTATATACCACCATCAAACTGGAGGGAGGGAGATGAAGAGAAAGAAGAGATACTATTTCTGCTGACATGGTTAATCTCATAGGATCACCTAGAGCAAGTCCTGGGAATTGTAGTTCAGTAGTGTGACTAGGAAAGGGAAACTGGCTTGGTAAACATCTAACCAGCCTCCTTTCCAAGGTTCTCTAGGAAAATAAATTTTGACAAATGTAAAAAAATGTAAATAACACTAACATTTACTGAATGGAATATGAACTGTGCAGTATGGCAACAGTTCCTAAACTTGCGTGATGATCCTGATTATTTGGGAAAGTTATTAAAAACATTCATTTTGAGCCGTGTACCTGGATCTCTGGAGGAAAGGTCATGAAATCTGTGCTTTTAATGTTTTTCAGGTGATTTTGATCACTGGCGAGTTTCAGAAGCACTGTTTTACACAAATACAACCTTTTGTGTAGGTGCTTTTAATTTTCCATTTTACACACGAGGTTTTTGAGGTTAATTAACTTGCTCAAGGTCACAGAAATAGGGGGTGGCAGAAATAGAACTTGAATTCGATCCTGCCAGACCCTAAAGATGAACACTTAAACTTTCTTTTATCACTCCATGAGAATTACAGCTAATTATTAAGGAACTTATGGACCTCCACATATTTTTTATATATCTAATATACTTTTTAGTATTTTTATAAATGCTGTGATATTGGATTTTTAAATTTTTTATTTCTGAATAAGAGGGTATATTCATAAACACAAAAACATGAAATTTTAGGACTAGACATACTCTCCACTTCAGATCAAGAGAAGTTCAACACAGATGTAATATATGCTTTTGGTTACTATTATGTCGTGAATTTCAGAAACTAAAAATAAATTGAGTAAGTTTGGCGGTGCCTCAAAAGATAGTTTTGGCCATTTGTAGGAAAAATATCCCATCATCTACAAGGATAGACTGGGTGAGGCACAGGTCAACTGAATGGCCCAAGTCAGTCAGTGATGCTGCTCTAAAAACCAGGATAAACACAGATAAACATCTTGAGGCAGGAATATCTCACCTTGGTAATGACAAGTAATTGCTGGGGTAGAAATGTCAGTGAACAATCTTTAGTGATAAAAATTCAAAGATGTGAAGCAACAAACTAGCAGAAAAAGAAATCAAGAAAGTAGTTCTATTTATAATAGCTAACAACAACAAATATCTAGGAATAAACTTAATCAAGGAGATAAGAGATCTCTACAAAGAAAACTATGAAACATGATGAAAGATATTGAAGAGGACACAAATGTAAAGACATCCTATGTTTATGAATTAGAATAATTAATATTGTTAAAATGACCATATTACTCAAAGAGACTGATTCAATGCAATTCCTATCAAAATGCCAATGATATTCTTAACATAAATAGGAAACAAAATTCTGAAATTTGTATGGAATCATGAAAGACCCCAAATAGCCAAAGAAATCTTGAACAAAAAGAGCTGGAGGCATCACACCACCAAACTTCAAAATATCTTACAAAGCTATAATAATCAAAACAGCATGGTATTGGCATAAAAACAGACACATAGACCAATGGAACAGAATAGAGAATGCAGAAATAAATCTAAAATTAGTTGGCTATACTGACAGCCAACTGAATGTTTTGAGAAAGGTAGTGACAACATTCATTGGGAAAGGGATAGTCTCTTCGATATATGGTGCTGGGAAACCTGTATATCCTTATGCAAAAAAATAAAACTAGATTTTTTTATATCTCACCATATATAAAAATCACTCAAAATGAATTAAAGACTTAAATATAAGACCTGAAATTATAAAACTACTGAAGAAAACATAGGGGAAATGCTTCAGGACATTGGTCTGTGAAAAGATTTCATGGAGAAGACTTCAAAAGCACAGACAACAAGAGCAAAAGTGATCTCAAGGTTTTTTTCATATGCTTGTTGGCTGCCTGTATGCCTTCTTTTGAGAAGTGCCTGTTCATATCCTTGGCCCACCTTTTTAATGGAGTTGCTTTTCTCTTGTAAATTTGTTTAAGTTTCTTAGAGATGCTGGATATTGGACTTTTGTCAGGTGCATAGTTTGCAAATATTTTCTCCCACTCTGTAGGTTGTCTGTTTACTCTATTGATAGTTTCTTTTGCTGTGCAGAAGCTCTTAAGTTTAATTAAATCCCATTTGTCAATTTTTGCTTTTGTGGTAATTGGTTTTGGTGTCTTTACCATGAATTCTTTGCTCATGCCTATGTCCAGGATGGTATTGCCTAGGTTGGCTTTTTTATAGTTTTGGATTTTACATTTAAGTCTTTAATCCATCTTTAGTTGATTTTTGTATATGGTGGAAGGAAGGGGCCCAGCTTCAATCTTCTGCATATGGTTATAACCCAGCACCATTTATTGTATAGGGAGTCCTTTCCCCATTGCTTGTATTTGTTAGCTTTGTCGAAGATCAGATGGTTGTAGACATGTGGCCTTATTTCTGAACTCTCTATTCTGTTACATTGGTCTATGTGCCTGTTTTTGTATCATGCTGTTTTGGTTACTGTAGCTTTGTAGTATATAGTCTGAAGTTGGGTACTGTGATGCCCCCAGCTTTGTTCTTTTTGCTTAGGATTGCCTTGGCTATTCAGGTCCTTTTTTGTTCCATATAAATTTTAAAATACTTTTTTTCTAGTTCTGTGAAGAATGTCATTGGTAGTTTGATAGGAATAGCATTGAATCTGTAAATTTCTTTAGTCATTTTAATGATACTGATTGTTTCTATCCATGAGCATAAGATGTTTTTCATTTGTGTCTTCTATGGTTTCTTTGAAGAGTGTTTTGTAATTCTTGTTGTAGAGATCTTTCACCTCCCTAGTTAGCTGTATTCCTAGGTATTTTATTCTTCTTGTGCAATTGTGAGTGGGATTGCCTTTCTGATTTGGTCCTTGGTTTGGCTGTTGCTGGTGTATAGGAATGCTAGTGATTTTTGTACATTGATTTTGTATCCTGCAGCTTTGCTGAAGTTGTTTATCAGCTGGAGGAGCTTTTGGGCCAAGACTATGGTATTTCCTAGATATAGAATCATGTCATCTGCAAGCAGAGATAGTTTGACTTCCTCTCTTCCTATACAGATGCTCTTTATTTCTTTCTCTTGTCTGATTGCTCTGGCTAAGACTTCCAATACTAAGTTGAATAGAAGTGGTGAGAGAGGGCATCCTCCTCTTGTGTCAGTTTTCAAGGAGGGTACTTCCAGTTTTTGCCCATTCACTATAATATTGGCTGTGGGTTTGTCATAGATGCTTTTTATTAGTTTAAGGTATGTTCCTTAAATATTTAGTTTATTGAGAATTTTTTAACATGATGGGTGTTGAATTTTATTGAAAGCCTTTTCGGCATCTATTGAGATAATCATGTGCTTTTTGTTTTTAGTTTTATTTATGCGATGAATGACATTTATTGATTTGTGTATGTTGAACAAACCTTGCATCCTGTGCCCCCACAGCTCATGGGCTGTGCCTTCTGGTGGAGATGGCAATGTGTGGACACTGCCAAGATTTACCACCTGTGCCTTCCAGAGGGGAGGTCACTGCAGCCTTCAGCCTACCTGGGGCAGCTGAGCAGTGTGGCACCAGAATGCAGGGAGTAGAACCTTGAGGCAGCACCTGGAAACAAGTGCAAAGGTCCCATGCAAGGAATAGGGGACAGAACTCTATCAAAGAGGTGCCCAAAGCCCCTCTTTGATAGAGTTCTATCCCCTATGCCTTGGCTGAATATCACTGATCATTAGAAAAATGCAAATCAATACCACAGTGAGGTACTATCTCACACAAGTCAGAATGACTATTATTAAAAAGTAAAAAAATAACAGATGCTGGTGAGGTTGTGGAGAAACAGGAACACTTATACACTGTTGATGGGAGTGTAAATTAATTCAACCATTGTGGAAAGCCGTATGGCAATTCCTCAGAAAGTTAAAATGCTGAATCATTTGATTCAGCAGTCAACCCCATTACAGCTGCCTCCACCTAGATTTCAAAAAATGGAGCTGCCAGGGGCCTTGGGCACATGACCCAGGGAGAGAGCTGCCAGAAGGGCTGAGCCCTTTCAGAAAGCACACACTAGGGAAATGCCCAGTGGAGCCATGGGGCAGGTATGGCCCTAAGACCCTAGAACTGTAGAGACACCAGTGTGCAATGCCAACCTAAAAGAGCTCTGGTATCTGACTCCAAGCCATGAGAGCTATTGTGTGGGCTGTTCTCAGCAAAGCAATTGGTCTGGGACAGGCTGGAACTCTGGGGCCTATTCCCCACCTCAGTATCAACACAGCAACCGCTTTGTGGGTAAATTACATTGATGAACAGTGGCCTGCCTATTTGAAAAGATGTTTTTCCTTCAGAAATTGTTATGGGTTGAATTGTGTAGCCCAAAAGTCATATTTTTTAGTTCTAATCCCTGATAGCTCAGAATGTGACCTTATTCAGAAATACGGTTTTTACAAATGTAATTCATTAAGTTGAGGTCATACTGGAGTAGGATAGATTTCTAATCCTATATGACTGGAATCCTTATAAAATAAAAGAAACTTGGACAAGAACACACATGCAGGAAGAACAGCATGTGAAGATGGAGACAGAGATCTGGGTGTCATAGCAGAAGCCAAGGAATACCCAAGCTTGCTAGGAAACCACCAGAAGCTAGGAGGGAGAGCTGGAACAGATTTCCTCTTACAGCCCTCAGAAGGAACCAACCCTGCTAGCACCTTGATCTGCTTTCTAGCGTCCAGAACTGAGACAATAAATTTCTGTTATTCTAAGGCAGCAAATTTTGATACCTTGTCACAGCAGTCCTAGCAAACCAATACAGGGACTATAAATGACAATAAGAAACATAAAAATAAATATTCCTCCCTTGGGGGATTTTGAGAATTGCAGAATACAGTTGGCAGTCTAGTATAAATGAAAAATCAGACAGGTCTGGATTGAAATCTTACCTATATCATGGTCTGGGTGGGTTTCTTTGACTGAGTTATCCAGATTCTCAGAGCCTCAATATCTTTATCTAAATAATGGAGAAATAGTATTTAATATTTTGGTTGTTGTTAATGACTGAATAATATCTGTACTATTTCAATTATTGTTTTGAAAATGTAATTGCTGCCATTCCACTATGGTTTGAATGTGTCCTCCAAAGTTCATGCATTGGAAACTTTTTTTCTCAATGCAACAGTGTTGAGAAATGGGACCTTTAAGAAGTGATTAGGTCATGAGAGCTCTGCCCTCATGAATTGATTAATGTAGTTATTGTAGAAGCAAGTTTGTTGTTGAGAGAGTGGATTTGTTATAAAAACAAGTTAAGCTCTCTCTCTCTCTCAACATGTCATGCCTTTTATCATGTTATGATGCAGGAAGAAGACCCTTACCAGATGTGACCCCTTGATCTTGGAATTCCAAGCCTCCAGAACTGTGAGGCACTAAATTTCTTTTCTTAATAAATCACCCAGTCTCACGTATACTGTTAGAATAGCACAAAACAGACTAAGACATATTCACTGCTTAATATGCATTATTTCACAACAAATCAATGAAGATATTACTGTATTACCTCCATTTAGGGAAAAGTGATTAGACTTATGCATGGGTCATACTCTTTTTAAGAATAAACCTGTCATCTAAGGCAAAAGTCACAAACACTGTACCTCTCACTTCTTGGATTATCTGCCTAGTGAAGAACATATGTCTGTTGCATTTGCTTTATATCATATCATATCGTGTGTGTGAGTGTGTGTGTGTGTGTGTATACATACATATTTGCAATATTGTGACTTCTGTACAGGAGCTTGAACCAGAAGTATGGCTCCTTTATTTTTCAAGTATTTCTAGCAAAATTATAAAGTAATGATTAATGATTAACATGGCATTAAATCATAAAATGACCAGAATTATACCTAATGTAAAAATAATAAACCAAATGAGAAAATAATCCATCAATTATTTTTTACAGAAAATACTTTCTTCCTCATGCAATACAAGAAGTTATGGTATTTTTTGGCATCCCCCTATGATTTAAACTTTGATTTCTGTTTATTTGTCATTTCACCATAGTACTTGAGTATAATATTTTGGAGATTGTACTTTAAAATAATTGCTAGTCTAAAGAAAAATATTACACAAAGTCAAACGACTTTTGTGCTTCATTTAAAGAGATAATTATATATAACTTTCATGAAACTATGGTATTAATTATTTATCTGTAGATTATAATCTCTTTTCAAGACTATTATATACTCATTATTTCTCTTCATGGAACCCAGAACAGGGGCTTGCACAAATTACGTGCATAATAAGGTTTGCTGATGATAGTGTAGGTCACTCATACAACTTATTTAACTTGCAAGTATCTTTAAAAATAATGTATTTCTTTCATTGATCCTGTAATTCTTATTTTGAATATGTAAATGTACTCTTCAGAAAACTGGAAAAAAATCCCAGTAGTTTTATTCTTACATGGTGATTATATATTAATACTAAAACTCCAAATTTATCTATACTAAGTAAAACTTATCCATTGCACAGGAAATGAATGATTTCGTACTTTTTGAGAAGTTCTGAGAACTCAGCAAGCGTTGAACTAAATGGTATGATGGAATATGGATGATTATCTCCAGCTGTGAAATATCTGTTCCAATCCCAGGGTATCAGGACCCTTTAAAAAGAAGAAGAGATGCATGAGCTTAACTGTTGGTTCCTCATTATTATATGAAATTCTATAAGATGTGGATTGGAAGTTTACACGATTGCATTTGGAAGCAGTTTGGTGAAATTTATCTATGATGCATTTCAGTGGTTCAGTTGTTAGCCTCATCTATCCTGTTTACAAGAGTACATTTGGAAGCAGTTCATTTGGTGAAATTTATCTAGGATGTGTTTTGGTGGTTCAGTTCTTAGCCTCATATATCCTGCTGTGTCCTACAAAATGCACATTGGGAATTTAAAGTCTGTTTAACATTCTGCTTTTAGAGTACGTGAGCCACATCACTTGAACTGTGAATGACCATTTGGTGGTCTTTTAATTCCTGAGGATACTTCGTTCCTTTGAAATAAGAAACAATCTTTAAGAGGATAATTTCTTTGAGAAATAGTAGTAAGTGCACATGGTAGTAGTTTTCTATCATTCTGCTTCCTAAATGATTACCCTTAAAACCGATCATAAATCCTACCTAAGTGAGGGCAATGAGAAATAGCTCAGGAAGCTGATCAGGAAGGTGACTTTGGGAGTATGTGAGTTAACTGGGTGGTGCCAACATAGCATTACCACAAAGCACTCATCAGGTATTAGTATATGGACTATGAGAAAATTTTTCCTTATTTTTCAAAAGTGACTAACATCTAAGAAAAAAAGAGTATGAAATAAATTCCTGTCTTGAGAAAGCTGCTCTCTGATAGTCACATCTTCAAATAATTCTATAGTCATAGTTTCATTTGGGAAATCAACATTTGATAATAAAAGTTCTATCAATGGCTGAATAAATGGAATGTTGTATAAGAGGAAAAGAAGCCCTGGGATCTTCAAATGCTTTATATTAAAGTTTACTTGGTGGCACATTTATGTGCAGCATTTTATAGTACTTTATGAAGCTGTATCCTCCAGTCATCTTGGTTTTAAGGAACTGAGGAAAATTTTACTAATTTCTCTAGACCTTGAGTAGCAATTGTAGAAGATTAATTTATTCACTACCTTTATGATAATACAGCATAAGATTCAGAACACTGGCTATGAAGTTAGGCTGCCTAGGTTTGAATCTTTATTATGTTTTTATTAGCTATATGACCTTATTAGGCATTTGCAAGTCACATAATCTCTTCTGTCACCCTATCTGTAAAATAAAGATATAATCAGTGGCTATTTCATAAAGTTTATCAAGGTTAAATGAGGATAAAGCATATAAGTAAAATTCTCGGGATAGTGTTTGGCATACAATAAGTGTTCAAACACGTAGGACACTCCTTTCAAGCCAAGGAGCATGAAAATGATCAAGGTGCAAAGAGAGTAAGGAAGGCACCCTTTGGGATTTGTATTTCCCTTTGCTTCTCTCTTGCTCATCAATAGTTTAGGGAGCTTCTCAGGAAGCCACAGCAGATATTACCAGAGATGTCATATAGAGCTGAAAGTGTATTCAGAAAAACCACAGTGCTGCTTTTGTGTGTCAGTAACCAAAAATGCAACACTGCGATTGTCTGCACAAAAATAGGTAATGTCAGGTAGGCTTCTCAGTAGTTAAATGATACAGTTAGAAGAACTGTTGAACATACTTTTCACAAAATGGAAAAAAACTTCATACAAGATCTAGCGGAGCTAAAATTTAAATAACCAGCTCGAGTTATGTGCTTCTAAATATAGCTCTGTTTCTCATTATCTGCATGGCTCATCTTCCAGCATGAAGATTAGCATGTGCTTATATCCATAAAATTGGCAGGTATTTAATTTACGGTAACTGGGTTTTTAAATTTAAATGTTAGATTTAATAGGCTAGATAAAATGTAACAATTATGTATGAAAAAATTAACTGAGTCTGTTGTAATTCATTCAAGTAATGCTCACAATACAGGATAAATGGGAAGTAAATCTTTTAGAATCTGCCACTTTACCTTTTTTAGTAGTTGCACAGTTCTTCCGCACAGTTTTATGGCATAGTCCTTATTTAACAGACATACATATTTAAGCAACTTATGTAGAATATATCATAGGAAATAATTGAAAATCTAAGTTATGATGGGTGTTGAGATCTATCCTGTTTTGTTCCTTAAATACCAGAAAAGTATAATCAATTAATTCTTTAGACAAATCTTAAAAGGGTACTTCTTAACTCAAACCCATATTGTTAAACTTTGGCTTCTCTCCTACAAAACTACTAAGCAAAAAACAAACTCACTTTAAAAAATTGCTATAACAGATGCTTTTGGTGCCTGACATGGTTTGGATCTTCGTCCCCGCCCAAACTGCATGTTGAATTACAATCTGCGATGTTGGAGGTGGGGCCTGGTGGGAGGTGATTGGATCATGGTGGTGGTTTCTCATGAATGGGTTGGTACCATCCCTTTGGTACTGTACCTGTGATAGAGTTCTCACAAGATCTAGTTGTTTAGAAGTATGTAGCATCTCCTTCTTCTCTCTCAGTCCTGCTCCTGCTTTGCTTTTGGCCATGAGTAAAAACTCCCTGAGGCCTCCCCAGAAGAAGACGCTGCCACACTTCCTGTACAGCCTGTGGAACTGTGAGCAAATTAAACCTCTTTTCTTTATTCTAAGATGTTTCCTAGAATAAAGAATTCTAAGATTTTTTCAAGCTCCTGGCTCCTGGTATACACACTCTATCTCACAATTATTTAATCAAACACTAACCTAGGTGCTGCTGTGAAGAGATTTTTCAGATGGAATTAAAGTCCTAATCTTTTCACCTTAAGATAGGAACACTATCTGACCTAATGGCATGAACCCTTTAAAATCAGAGTTTTTTTTCCATCGCTGGCAGAAGAAGAAGTCATCAAGATTCATCCTTACTGGCCTAAAAGAAAGCAAACATCCGTTTTGTGAACTGCCTGGGGCCCTGGGAGGTGCAGGTGGGGAGAGGGCACCTGGCAAGGAAATGTGGGCAGTCTCAGTGGGAACTGAGAGCAGAACTGAAAGTGAAACTTGAGTCCTACAGCTATAGGATGAATTCTGCTAATAACCAATAAGCTTGGAAGGGAACCCTGAATCCAGCTGAGAATGACAGTCCTGGCCAACACCTTCATTTTAGTCCAGTGAGACCCTGAGCAGAGAATCTATGCCACACCTGAACTTCTGACCTTCAGAAACTGAGCTAAAAAATGGGTATTTTTTTAAAGCTGCTGCCTGTGGTAATTTATTGTGCAGCAATAAAAAACTAATGCACTAATGTTCAACTGTTGCTAATAGTTCTGTGTGAGCTCAGACTCACCTCATACCAGCATCATCCTACCTTAAAGATTCACTATGTGTCCATCCTCTTTCTACCCCAGGGTCTTCTCCAATGAGTAGAAGCTTCTTTGGCCCTGTGCAGTCACAGCTTGGAAGTATAAGGGACTTGATACTCTACACCACTAATCCAATGGAGGGTAAAGTCAGTAGATGAAAGTTCCAGCCTAGTGCTCTTTGAGTGGACAATTCCACATGTTTCACAGAAGTGCTGGTAGAACTGAGCCTTGATTCCTAGAGCAGTGACCTCAACTGCTCACCATCTCAACATTTTATTAACTTATCCTTCTTGTCTCATTTTCTTTCTACAATAAACTTTCCTGCATGCAAGTTCTTCTCTCAGATTCTGTTTTCAGGGAAATCCAAACTAAGAGAGTTGCAAGCCTTTTAAATGAACTAGATAAGAAGCAAGCAAATCTTCCCCTCCTTGAGTGCTACATCTCTTGCGATTATTACCAAGAGATGCAGTATCGAAGATAAAAAGAAAATGTCTCTTCAGCAAATCATAAGAAGAAAATAATACTTTCAGATTGAAAGAGTCAAAATTAGATGATGGTGTGAAGTATATTCTGAAAAATTCTTGAATCAGCATGTGTTATCACTTCTGTCAACTCCCAAAACAATGATCATTACAATTTCTTTCATGTGAAGAACGCTTCATATTTATAAAGTACACTCATGTGTATTATTATTTTTTATTCCCACAACAATCTAGATTATGCTTTTAGTATTAAAATTATCTTCGGATATTCTATAGCTTGAAGGGGGTTAAAAATTATTTTTGAGCAATAGATATTATGTAGTTGTTAATTTGAAATTTTCTTCTTATGATTTAATAATGTCTTCCAAAGAATATCATTTAAGCCCTTCTTCATTTTACAACTGTTACATGTTTTGATACAGGTAAATTTTTTGTTATCTAGTCTGCCGATTCAATGATGGTTAAAAATTCTTTCAATATATGGAAGAAACACATAACTTAGTGGAGAGTTATAACTTATTTCTCTTTTTGTTTACAGCCTCTTTATTTAGTATTTGTCTCATGTCTTCACTTACTAATACTCATTAATGTTCAAGAAATTAGCAGTTTTCATGATATTTCTGTTTGGAATAGTGAGATTCTTGAGAACTGTGATTTTTTTGAGCATTTGAAAAACTATTTATTGAATAAGTAATACATTCACATAGGTCACAATTCTAAAGGAACAAAACAGCCTACAATACTGTTAATGCTATATGAAAACTGTGAGTTTTAAACAATTCCTGGGCCCTAAATTCTCTGCATTGTGAAACTTTGCTATTATTTCCAAGATAAATTCTGGCTGATTATATTCTGGGAAAGTGGTCTAACAGAACCCAGGAAATCTCTTTGGGAAAATTAGACATTCTCTGGAAGGTCCTTTCTGTCTCTATGTTATGTTCTCTGAATTTCTACTGCTTAGTTCTTTGCTAGTTCTTTTTTTTTTTTTTTTTTTTAATTTGACAGTCATTTCCTGCTGCTTTTTCGAATCTCAAAGAGTAGTCCTCTGTTTGAGGTATCACAGTTGGTTGTTACAGAAAAAGTTTTTTTATGTTACAATTGGAAGATTATGACTTCAGGAAGGTGAAAGTAGCAAAGGAAATAGAATCCAAACCAAAATCTTTAATGGAAAAAAATAGAAGAAAACATGTAGAATTGGTCTCAAGTTTTCTATTATGTTTTAAAATTTCCCCATAAGCCATCATAACTCTTCAGAGGCATATTAAAATAGATGGCTTAAGGTGAACTCTTTTACCCTTACTATATTTTTATTTTTACCAATTCTAAGTTATTTTTTCCCAACTCCTTTCTGATGATCTAACTTTCAGTAGTGCTAACAAAGATGATATTGTTTTGTATTTTTGCTTTAAAAAATTAAGCAACCCATACCTATATATATATTCATAATTGCCTTAGACAGTTGAAGGTGAAATTTTGGAGATCTTCATAGTTAATCTAGTGGCAATTCCTTTTCTCACTTACGCATTTATAAGCCAGTGTTTTCTAAAACTAGAACTATGACTACTGTGTTCCCAGGCAGCCAGCAGTTACCATGCCTCATAATTGACTGATCATACTCCTGGAAAAGCCCTTGTCAGAGCCTGAAGCCTTATGGCCTTAATCCTACATCTCACTAATTAATGAATCATGTTCATTCTCAGGTCTGTTATTTCTTAGCACGTGATCATTTTCTCATAGTCTGTGATTGATTTGGCTTCCTAAATCATTTAATGTTAGAATTTCCACCCTTGTTTGTATGATATTGTACATGTCTTTATGCTCACACAAATTATTCATACAGCCAGATTTAGATTGATGATTCAACATACATCATTGTGGTCATCAATCAGTGTTCTTATACAAACCTAATTTATTACTTTGAATAGTCTTCCTATGAAGACATGGAAAATAGTCTTCATGTCTCTCTACAAGGAATAATTACCAAAGTTGATCTGTACTTCTGAGGACTGTGGTAATGTGATAGTCACTGAAATGGATAGGGGGCAAGGGTCAAACTTAATCTGATAATTGTAAATAGCATCATTAAAACCTTAAATATATATCACCACATTAAAATGGGCCTAAATTATTAGGGAGCCATAATTCCTTAGACAGCCTACTTTAAAAAGGTAATGAAATTAGAGGCGCCTTCCCTTAGAATGTTGGATTTGGGTTGGGGGAATATTTGGAAAGAGTCCAGAAATTTATTTATAACATATACATTTCTCATCGACATTCTTTTTCTCTGCAAAAGACATTATCTACTAACATGATTTAACACAAACAAATAAAGAACGTTCACACTTCTAGACCAGATTACTTCAATATCTTGACATTTCTTTTAAAATTTGCAGCGGTAATTACAGCTTTGTCAGCTAAGTAATCAATTAGGTAAAAGTTTAAGTGCAAAGTTTTATCTGACATGAGAAGATTAATGTGTGCTTTGCTAATAACTACGTTTAGTAGGATGGATCTCTTTAGTAGTTCTATTTGTCTACTGTGCAAATTCATCATTACATTTCCCAATTACCTCAGATATTGCTGTCATTGTTTTTTTCTCTAGAGGTGTTAATGCTTTAGTTCTTGGCATTAATTATATTGGAAATTACTTTATAAAAGAAATATGAAAAAGAGTTTTTTACTTAGAAATAGCAACAGAGGTTGGGTGCTGTTGCTCAGTCATACCTGTAATTCCAGCACTTTCGGAGGCCAAGATGGTAGGATCACTTGAGGTCAGGAGTTTGAGGCCAGTCTGGGTGACATAGTGAGACCCTGGCTCTCCAAAAAAAAATAAAATAAAATAACAATAATAAATAAATAAATAAATAAATAAATAGAATAAAAGAAAGAAAGAAGTAGCAACAGAATTTGGTGTTTCAGTGAACATCTTTTTCCTAGCCCAAACCAGTTCTCTTACCCAAAGTTTTGGAAAAACGAACAAACATATTTTTGTCATATCTTGTTAAGCAGATAGAAAACTATTCACTATAATTCCACAAATATTTAGTGAACGTTTGCTATGCACCATGTATATTGCTAAGTTGCATGGGTGCAAATGGATACAATATGGTCCTTTTTCTCAGTTTTCTCAAAAAGGGGAAAAGGGAAAGGTACACAACTAAATATACTATGATAAAGACATTGACAAAGTGGTTTTGAAGCTCGGAGGAGTGGGCATTTACTTCTATCTATAATATTTCTATCTAGTCTTCCTTGGGTATGTTAGATTTTTAACCGGGTCTTGAAGGATGAGTATGAGTTAGTCAGATGGAGAAAGAGGAAAAGCTTTGCCAGGCAGAAAAAATAGCATTTATAAAGCAAGTATGGTAGTTTTCAAAAAAGGAAATTATAGAGAAAGGATAACTGTATTAGAGGAGCCCATTTCCATCCTGCTAAAATCCTTACATGTCCAACAAGATAAATGGGGTAAGCAAATAACTCAAATAACCTTTGACAGCATTATCAACATAATACTGAAATTAATCTTAACCCAGCTCACTCCCCATCTGGACACCAAACTCACAGGCAATTGTGCAATAGGCAGATCATGGACTTTGAGACCATATAGATTTTTTTTTTCAAAATGTAGATTTATCGCTTGCTAGTTGGATAGGCTTGAGAAATCTGGACTTCTGTGTCACAAAAGTTTCAATCTATAATATGAGGATAACTACAACTTTATAGGGTTATTGTGAAGGTGTAAAAAGCAATATGTAAAGATCTTGGAACATTTTATGTACTCTATATATGTTGGCTTCCATTTCCTTTTCTGTTCTTGAATGCCCGTGCAAAGCAGAAAAGTATGGAAATATACACTTATTTGCAGAGCACTGCTTAGACTCCAAGGGCTAAACTGTAGTACAGACAGCTTTGGAGGTCAGAGTATGAGACTGAACATTAATATCAGGCTTCATGAAGGGTCTTATTATCTTATGAGACAGTCATATTTTTTGTATTGTGTGCGATGAAGAGTGTATAAGTTATCCACTGCTGTATAATAAACAATCCCCAAAACATTGTGGCTTAAAATAATAACTGTTTAATAATACTCACAAGCCAAAGGGTGAGCTGGCTGGTAATGCGGATCTGGCTCAGGCTCAGCTGAACTTGGCTAGACTTGCTCCTTTTCAGTGGTTGGCTAGGTGGGATGGCTTTATTCACATGTCTGGTGCTTGGCTGCCAGTTAGGTGGAGCGATGAAGGCTATTGGGCTGAGTGTCTCCTGTCATCCATCAGGTAAGCTTAGGCTTGTTCATAGGTGGTGACAGTGTTTCCAGGAGTGAGAGGAATGAGACTCTACCTCTTGATAAGAGAGCCAGCAACATCACATTGCAAGGGGACCTGAGTATAAACAAAAGTAGAGAGTTGTGGCTATTTTTTGTAATTTATTGAAGAAAGCTACTTACATATGAATGAATGAATAAATGGCAGAATCAAATTTGTGTCTAGAGTAATCATTCTAACAGCAGTAGGAGAAATGGAAAGGAGATAGAGTGGACAAAAAACAAGAGTAGCTGTGGACTTTGTAATTGTACTGGGAAAAATTATTGTATCAATATTCTGAGTCCTTTCTTTACCACTTAGCAAGGAAAGAAGATACTAATCTTGTTTACTTATTTTCTTCTCTACCCATCACCTCTAAGGAGATTTCTGCCATTTCCAGAGTCCCTCTGGGATGTTGTTAGGCAGAACAGGGAGAAGAGGGAAAGACTAGGGCTGAATGGGATTGGAAGAGTATATACAGAGTACGTTTTTACTGGTAGTTTGAGAGAGGGTGATATGGTAGGACTTGTGGTGTGAAAGAAAAGTTAATGAGAGAGAAAACAAAAGGAGTTATATAAATGTTGGCGTAGGCTACCACCTTTATGGTGTTCAAGAAACAGTGAAAAATGTCATGTGCCAAGTATCTTCCATTTGCCCTTCCAAATTCACTCTTTACTCTTTTCTACCCTGCTCTTTTCTCCATGAGGCTGACCTAATATGGATTATTTACATGGACAACTTTGACCATTGCCTTCTGATAGGGCAATGAGAGCCTAGAAGGACATAAGAAGAAGTGAAGAAAAGGAGATTGGAGTATTTATTCTCTCAGCCAGCCAGCCAGCCAGCAAAGAATGTGGACCGTCATTATACACATTTGTTAGATGTTGCTGTTATTTCCAACTCAATTTTTTTTAATTCTAGGCAAATCGACTATAATTTATTCAGGTTTTAAAATATATATTATTGTGTTTAGTCCTTACAGAAACTCTTACGAGGAAGGTAATATTAGTTTTACTTTACAGGTCTGGAAACCAAAGTTCAGATATAGATTAAATGAATTACTTACCACCCAAGGTTTTATTTCCCCCTGAGGCTTTTAAAGCTGCTTTGGAAGAAAATCATTTTTTGTGTCTAGCATTAATTTTGGAGCCCTGTAACTTCTCAGTAGAATAGAGAGGAAATGGTCAGGATTTAATTTTCTTTCTTAGTCTTCATTCCTAAGAATTAAGATTAAAATTATTCCTTAAACCTCTTCGTTACCATTCCTAAAAAGAAACTTAGGTAAGAGAACAAATAGAGATAGTAGCAAACTATCTCATTTTACATGTAAAAAAAGCAATACCAGTAATTTGTAATTTTTCTGCTTGATTGATTTACACAGGGAAATTCTATGTCCACAAACCAAGTTTGTTTTTTTTTGTTTTGTTTTTTAAACCGGGGCAATAATAAACTTCCATTTGTTTAGGAAAACTCTTTCTATGACACCTAATTGTCAAATAATTTTCTAAGTACTGTGGAAATCCTTCCATAAATTCATGTAAGTAGCATCTAAAACACATTATTGAGTGTTGCTATTTAAACATAGTGTATATATGGTTTAGAAAAAAAATTGAAAACAAAAAAGTTTTACATGTCTCTTTTTTTCATGTATAATCTAGGCCATCTAGTCTTCTTGATTTGTACCTAGTAATATCATTTGTATCTATGTCTATATCTATATCTTTCCTAATAAATATTTAAACCTTTACTTAAAATTTTTCTTCTTGCCATTCCAGACTAGTATATGCCATTAACATTTGGAAAGCTCAAGAGGTAAATTGAGAACAGCTGTGGAATGATTAATACTGATGCCTTGGGTACGATGTTCTGTCAGTCTTGTGAGTGGCAGTAAATCACCAGGAAAGTGGAACTGAACTGTATCTTTTCTCATCTTGTTACATATATTAGCTGCCACAATGACTGACTAAAAAAGAACGCATCTCCCCCAACTCTCTGGCTAACAACTGCATGATTCTCGTTTATATAAGGTTATATTTGAGGATATATTTATATAGTTTGCTATATAATGCATATTAATAACTCATTTAGCAATTGTCTATCATGGTGATTGGTTTGCAAATGACTTCGAATTCTTTCATCAAAGATGGAAACTGAGTAGTTTCTTTTTAAAATTTGGTCGTTTGATTTTATTTCAATTTGTTCTGTTTCAAAATGTCAGTGATCTTCAAAACGGCACCTTACAGTTTTCAAAACAAAATGTCTTCTTTAGACTAGCATCAGTGGCTACACTGAGTTTACAGGTGAGAAGCAATATCAAAGGTGGTCCACGTATTGTGCATGTGTTGTTCAGGCAGGGTTTAACCATGAGTAGTGTAGAAAACTACTCTCAAGGGTATTTCCCCAATCAAGAGATGCATTCTTTAAAAAGGAGGTGATGCTTCATTTATGTAGCAATTATGGAGTTCTTAATGCTATTAGCATTCAAATAATCACCCTTGTCTTCCTAATTTCACATCTTTAGATTAATATTCTATTTTATTCACTTATCTTCAATGGAGTGTTAGAAGCAGATAATTTGTTTTGGATGTTGGCAGGGGAGGAAATGGAAGACAAACTTTCCTCTTATCAGGCATTGGGCCTTAGCCTATTCAGTGCCCAATCAAGTCTCCTAATATTTTGCTCATGATAGTTTCCAGGAGTCATGTACCTCTGTATCACCATATATTAGGATAGATCCTGGTATATTTTACAGTTAAGCAATTCCATACAAGTTTGCAAATTTTAATGACTACAGCAAAAATTGTTCCTATGCTATATCAGAAAAACTTTCCATCCTCTGGAATACATAATTTTGAAAATAGTTTCCACACTGATCATTACAGGATCTCATGATGTACTAGAAATTTCTCTATTACTATAGAAGGAGAAAACAATTCAATGAGTTCCTCAGACTTGACCAGATTTTACTTGACCACTTTCTTACTCAATTTACAACCACCCTCATCCTGGGTTTATTCCAACACTCCATTTCCAAGGGAAGTGTTCCATATGGATATGGAAGCAGTGTTACAGTAGCTTTCTGCAATAACTGGCATTTTGTTGTGTGGTAGAATGGTTGTAAAAATAAGTACAATTATTTGTCCTTTTTGTATCTATGCCCTTTGCAGTATGACTTTGCAGCTTCTCACATCTAGAGGTGGAGTCTATTTCCTCATCTCTTTAGACTGGGTAGGTCTTGTGCCTTGCTTTGGCCAGTATAATGTGATGAAATTGTGCCAGTTTCAAGCATTGGCCTCAAGGGGTCTTGAATGCTTCTACTTGTCCTCTTGATTTCCTGCCCTACCACATGAACTAGCCCAGGCTAGCTTGCTAGACGACCAGAGACACATTATCATTGGAATATAGTAGGTACTTGCTAAAAATGTGTTTAAATAAATGAATGGTATTCCACACGGTCTTTGCTCACTTCTGGCCATTTATCTTCCCTCTGGGTGTGGTAGATTGTATGCCTCAGCTTCACCAATATCTGCTTTTCTTCCCCTTCTTGAGGAAGGATTATATCTTCCCATTCATTGAAGTCAGGCTTAGCCACGTGACTAGATTGAACAAAGAAACATGAGTGGAACTGGTTAGGGTTAGTATTAGGGTGTCACTTTCAGGCCGAAGCTTTAAAACTGGGTTATGGTTTGCTACATTGTCTTTTTCCTTACTATTACAAAAGGCAAGTACTCCACATAGGGCCTGCTCTATCCTCCTGAGCTCATGAATGAAGATGAAATATGGTAGAGTTGGTTGGTTCAACCAACTCTTTATGGGCACGTTGCAAGAGCAGGAAGAAAAACTCTTATTATTATAAACCACTGACATCTTGGAATTGTTTGTTATTGCAGCATAATCTAGCCTATTATAACCAGTATGCCGGATGATCACTACCACTTATATACTGTTTTTATTACTACTTAAATACTTATGACAAATATATATCACTATCCGTATATATTGCTGGTGGGCATTTAAGATGATACAGTCACTTAGTGAAAAAATTTGGCAGTATCTTAAAAAGTCAAACATACACATATGATACAAATGAGCCATTCTACTTCTACATTTATACTTGAAGGAAATGAAAGCATGTTTGTACAAAGACTTTTGCAAATGTTCATCATAGTAAAAAAAAATGGTCAAATGTCCCTCAACATGCTGGTGGGTAAACAAAATTAGTATATCTATCTAATGAATACAACTCAGCAATAAAGAGGAAGAAACTACTGATGTATGCAGCAAAATGGGTGAACCTCAAAATCAGTATTCTAAGTAAAAACAGCCAGACAAAAAAAGTATCTATTTTATATGATGCCATGTCTGTGACATTTCCAAATCCATAGAGACAGACTGTAAATCAGTGGTTGCATGGGATTCAGGGTGATACTTTTCTAAAGCTGGATTGAAGCAGTGCAACAATTTAAAAATTATTGAGCTATGCATTTACAGTGAATGAATTTATGGTTTGTAAATTCTACCTCAATAATACTGAAAAGAAAATTAGACCCATTTTTTTTCCTGAGTTACAGTTGTATATCTAACTACTGACTAGCTATTTCTGCCTAGACAGCTCACAAGAGCGCTTCAAAATTACACAAAAATAGGCTGTATATTTCCTTTGTGCATCTCTCCAAATTATATTTCAGCACCCTATTACCTATAGTATTACCACACAGAAAGTTGCTGAAGCTAAAGAACTTTTTTAGACTCCTTGCAACTATTTACCTCTCTATTCAAGTTGTCTACACACTATTAATCCTATCTTTTGCATACTTCAAACTCATCAGCTCCTCTTAGTTTCATTCACTTGCTAACTTTTTTTCTCATCTCCAGCATTACTCTAATGCTCTTAATTCTAATGTTGCCATATTTGGAATTTTTAAATTTTTTAATGTCTCTTGAATAGCCAGAGACTAAAGATGTTTTATAACAATGAGAATGAATATATCATAAGTTATTATATTCACTTTATAAGTATATGCTGACATGCCTTCCCTACCTATATTATTGAACAAAAATACATGAGAACATTCTAAAACCATTCAATACAATTAACTACTTAAAATACTAAAAAGTGGTTAAGTTCCACAGTGATAGTAATTCTGGGTATTGCCAAGTGGTATAAAAACTCAGTTGGTCTGAAAGGGAAGTTTGGAATGGAATGCAGAGCTTCTATGTTTGAAGTCTGAGTCAGCATTACCTTAGCATTCAACTTCAATTTTCATTTACTCTAAGATAGTGATAAACAGCCCATAGCCCTTGGCCTCCCTCTATCCAGCCTAATTTCAAAACATGGTTTTGAGCTATTTTCAAGGGTAGTCTTTCAACTCATTCAAAATATTGAGTTTAAGGTGGAAAATGCTTACAGAAAAGTTCTGTTAGACAGTACAGGAATGGTCCAGGTTTGGGGAAAGGGATACTGCTCTCTGAGAGGGGAAAGGCTGCATCTCTTTCTAGGGCTAGAATAATATTACTGATTAAAACTATGAGAGATGTCTTACTAGAGGCACCTGGCATTCACCTACTCCACAAAGAAGGACCAAAACAGCAAATAGATAATCACACTTTAAATAGAGCATCTAAGAAAGAATACTGGAATTCGGCATGGAAGTGACAAGGAACATCTGAGGGACAGAAAGTAAAGGAAGTGAGGCACACAGCCTGGCTAGGATCAGCTGGGATCTAGAAGAGGATCCCCAGTACAGGGAAAGAGTAAGTGAGAGATTCCCAGTGGTCCACTTCCCCAGCATGAACTCCTGCAATCTTAGCCATGGGTGAGCCACTTGGCACTAATAGACCCTGAGAATAGTATAGGGCTCTACCTGGAGTCTGTGTGATGGTATTGTTCTAGAGAGGGAGTCTGCACGGGGTCCCACACATCCCCTGAGACTCAAGCAGGGGCAGGACAGCACCATTTTGAGAGCCTAGCCTTCACCAGGCTACATCCTGCCCAGAGGCCCAACAGCACCTGCATCTCCATATTTCCGGAGCCCCATAACATTCTCCTGTATCTACCTGGTAGGCTGCAGTGTTGTGATACTGTCTGAACCTAGTCATGCAGCCTAGTCCCCAGCACTTTAGCCAACACAGGGTGCTATATTTTAGGGAATGAGCAGTGCAGTTTAACAGGGAGGAGGCTGCCCTAGGGACAAAGGGAGCCAAAATGCATGCTCCCCATAGCCTGAGAGCTACCTGCCTGGGGCTGCTGCCACTGAAAACAACCTTACCCTCTCCTCCAGGAGCAGGGCTGTCATTCACCTACATATGCCTTTAATGGGCCTGAAGACAGACCCACCTTGCCCTGTGCCATCGCCACCCGAGCACACCAGCTAGGTATCTATTGCAGTTGGTGCATATGAGAACCATCAGGAGGTTTGACAACAGGCCCAGGCTGCCTGCTACCAGTTCCTGAATGTATCTGCCAGGGGCCTAAGGATTGCCCCAACCTCCCTGCACAACACAGCTTGCACCTGTGCACATCATTGTGGGGCGGGGGGGGATACTGAGGGTTGGCCCACCTGATATGCTTTGGCTCTGTGTACCCACCTAAATCTCATCTGGAATTGTGATCCCCATGTGTGGAGGGAGGGACCTAGTGGGAGGTGATTGGATCATGGGGTTGTTTTCCCCCATTCTGTTCTCGTGATAGTGAGGGAATTCTCATGAGATCTGATGGTTTAAAAGTGGCGGTTTATCCTGGACATACTCTCTCTCCTGCTGCCTTGTGAAAAAGGTGCCTGCCTCCCCTTTGCCTTCCACGATGATTGTAAGTTTCGTGAGGCCTCCCTAGCCATGTGGAACTGTGAGTCAATTAAAGCTCTTTTGTTTATAAATTACCCAGTCTCGGGCAGTTCTTCATAGCAGTGCGAAAACAAACTAATACAGACTATAGCAGTGTGAAAACAGACTAAAACAGTGTAAAACAGACTAGTGCCACCCTACCTGGTACTGCTCCTACCAGTGCCTGAGCATGCCATATGGGCACCTGGGGATTGATTGACCAACCCTGAATGTCACCACCGGCATGTGTGTGCACCATCAGAAGGCTGAAAACTGACCCAGCACATCTGCTGCAAGGATCTGAGTGTGCTTTCTGGGGACCCGGGTTTAACCCACCCCACCTGCTGTCACTGGCACCCATATATAGCTTCCAGGGTCCTAAGGACAGGTCTGAATAGCCTGCTGGTGCTTGTACCCATCTGTTGGAGGCTGAGGGACCAACAAGCCCTACTACTGCAGCTTGTGCCTATGTGCACTACTGGGGGCCTGAGGACAGAACCGCTTCACCTGGTGTCATTCCTGCCAGTTCCCAAGTGCATGGTCTGGGTGCCTGGGGATTGTTCTGCCCTGCATTCCACTGATGGCCTGATGGCACCCACACATTCCTCCTGGGAGCCTGAAGATAGGCCTACCCAGCCTGCCATCACCAATAACACTGGCATCCACCCACATACACCACCTAGGGGCCTGCGGACTGACGTGCCTAGCCTACTGCTGCCTGTATGTGCAACTTGAAAGCCTGAGGGTTGGCCTGCCATTACTACTGCCATCACTGATGCCATGCACACCACCCAGGGAACTGAGGACCTGCCTACCTACCTGACCTACTTCTGCCACTGATGGCATCCAAACACATTACCTGGAAGCTCAAGGATCAGTCCACCTAGATTTGCTAACACCATTGTCCATATATGCCACATGGGAATCCAAGGACAAGCACATTTGGCCTTCTGCCACTGCCACTGGGGCCTGAGGGTTAGCCTCAGCAATAAAGCCTCAACAAAGCCTCATCACAGCCTCTGTTAACAACCTAAACCTAAGCCACTTAGGAACTCACAGACACCACTGATGTTCATTACAGCTGAAGAAGTCATACAGAGACTACATTACCACATGTACTCAGAATCAAAACTAAAGCACCCTATGCAACCAACACTATGGTTACAGCTATAGGAAAAAGTCTTTCCCTATAAAAGCCAACTCAAAAAATGGAAAGATGTAACTGTTACACCAGATGTGTAGATCTGAATGTAAGAACACAAGAAACATGAAAAAGCAAGGAAATATGACACCACCAATGGAACACAAAATTTCTCTAGCAACAGATTTTTTCTTTTCTCCACCCTGTCAGCAGTTCACACAGCCCTGTGCTTTAAGCTGTTTTTTTTTTTCTTTTCTTCACTGGGAGTTAACTTTTACATGGAAGGCTTTTTTTTCCCCTTTAGAAGACGTTTTACTAAGCCAGGACCCCAAATATCACTGTTGACATTCTCTGTAAAGTTTTAATTATGATAAAGGATTTGTGAGGTTTGTCTTAAGCTATAGCAACTCTTTTATGATTTTCATGTCTTTCTGTATGGTTCCATCAGAAAGAGGGGTACCTTAGGATGAGATGTGGGCCTAGGATTTTATAAGCCCACTCTTCAAGCCAGCCTGGCAAATTGGTCAGTAGTAAACTTTGCTGCAGGCCTCCATCTTGTTTTATGTCCTTGGGAGAACCACGTGGCAGTGCTTTGTTTTAACCTCTGCCATTTTACAGTGGTGGCCCAGGTTCAATCTGGCTTAGGGAATGATTCCTTTCCGATTTGATGTCTGTGTGACCTTTGCCATTTGTTGATTCTCTACCCCTCCATGAACTGCCTTGAATTTTCCTTTCTCTGAGCACCTGGGAGGTTATGTTTGGTAAAGTTCAAAAGCCAGGAATATTAGCCACTTGGTGTGGCTAAAGACAGGTAATAAGGGATTTCCAAGGATTTTTCTTTAAGAGTGCTCAGCTTAATTAAAAGTGGATATCAAAATTACAGGTATATTTTAAAGGCCTTTATGCTTTTCTCTTATTGGATCTTATTTTGCTACAAAAAAGTTTTTTTTTCCAGTCGACTGAATTTTCTCCCTTTTGTCTTGCCACCCTTAATCCATGCAGAAGAGCCTCTAAGATAATTTCTGATGGTCTAGGAGTCCTTGGGAAAAGCAGAAAAGGCCCCATGGATTCCATTTTGGGAGAGACCTCTGTTTTCCTCATGGAGCCCCAGGAATTAGAGGCAGATGGATACCTCTCAAAATTTGTTTTTGTCTTCCAGCTATACCTGTTTATTAGGTCCTAGAAAATCACATGCTTTCCTAGCCTTGCTCTTAAAGGGCTCCACCCAGAGGCCAATAATTCAATTAGGAGCTTGGCAAACAAAAAATCTTACAGCTACTGGATCTTCTTCTGCCTGTCTGTGTAGTTCTATATGTGTTATGTGTGTCATTTCTATAAATAAGAGATCTAGTTAATTGACTTGAAGGATAAGTGCTTGGATCAAACATTTTTTACAGGGACGATAAAAGCTGTGGTACCTTTTAGTTCACATGACTTTAATCTTTGAAAAATAAAAACAGCCTTAAAGATTATTGGTAAAATGAAGATGTCAAAATGTAAATTTTTGCCTATGGTTAAAGGATTCTTTTGAATTAGATAAGATAAAGCTAAAAGTCTAAACAAGTTGTGGAAGGATTATAAAAATTAATCTTGAAAAAAATTGTGTGAACATTGACTAAATTGAAAAGGATTATAAAATGTTTTTCCTTTTTTAAAATTTCTGAGTCATCATTTGACAAATAAATAACTTAAGGTAATCTGGAATTCTGTTTAATAACATCAAGTGTTTTAAACCTCTAATATGTTTAACAGACTTCCCAAAACCAAACTTTAGTTTCAAAAATTTCTCTCCCGACTCCTAGCTTTTAGATGTTACAGAGGGCCCCTGAAACATACAGAAGAGAAGTAAACAGGATTATTTGACATATTTAGGTACATGGGATTGCTAAAATGATCTTTAATCTTCTTCAGGTTATATTTTAATGAGTAATATTAATAATGTTCTGAATTTGTATGGGATTTCTAAAATTCTAATGTCTGAGTATATGCCATCAATCACAATTATGTTAAAGTTATAGTAAACTACAGAGATAACCAAATTGCTTTGATAATTGTGTTTCTGACTCTAACTACCCTGGACATTTTGTTATTCAATTGTTGTCTTGTTTTAATCCTCTTCAAAAGATGGTTTATAATCAGCTATAGAACTATGACAGGTCCTCTCAAATGCAGTTTTTTTTTTTATAACTTTGGAGATTGTTACACTGTAATAAAGGAAAAATATACCAGATTCAGGAAGAGCTGAAATGTTCATGAATATAAAGCAGAATAAGAGTTAACTGGGTCGACTGAACTAATAGAAAACTGAAGTAATATTTTTGACTTTTGCTTGGAACATTACTGATCCTTGTTTCATTTTTCAGAGTCAAGGGAACTTATTTTGAGCTATTTACAGCCTTTAACAATTGAGTAAGGTATACTCCTGTGACCAAAATTTGGAGCATATTTGTCCTCTCTGGCTTCTACAGAATTTGGAAACTAGTTGTGAGAATTCTTAACTTCTGGCAATATAGTTGTTTGCATCAGTGCAATATGAATTTATTTTCTTTTGCAACAGGACACAATTGGAGAAACTGGTTGTTTTACCAAGGCTTTGACTGGAAGGGTGTGCCTCCCTTTAAGGAGTCAAGCTCGACTTGCAGAGCTTATAAAAGCCCTTGTTAGGAAACTGTCTTCATACCTTGTCTACACAGTCCTTGTACAGGGTTCCTAACCTGTGGTTAGTAGAGAAAGTCACGTTCTAACAGGCTCAGGAAACCCATGTTCTTTAGACCTCAGGAAAAGAGAAGTTTACCCAACTCACAGGTATTTAAGGATACAAACCTATGGCTGGGCTCAGCTTTAGAAAATCCTATCTGAGATTCCTTGTGAAATACAGTTCCATCAAAGCCAATCTAACAGGCTTATGTAGAAATAATTATTCTTGCTGCACTTTATGCAAACAATCAGGCCAAGTATAAGACTAAAGTCTATTTTGCAAACAACACCGTCCTGTCATAATTTGCTTTTAACAAAAATGAGGACTGGAGAGAGTAATTGTGTTTCAAAACTTATCATACATTTGTTATTAAACTCCAGACTCACTGATTGTTTTTAAGTTTCTTGCCTACATTTCAGACTAACCCTGCTTATTCCTGTGAACCAACCAGCAATTTCCAACTGCAGCTCAGAAGGAACAAAAGGGATAAGTAATGTAAAACTCTGATCGATATTTTAATTCTGAGCAATTATCCTGCAAATCCTGCCAGGTGATGGGAATAAATAGGGTGCCCATCACACAGAGGTGTCCTTTTTGAGAAAGTAAGGCCAAAGGAGCTAACCAAAGTCAAATCATTTGCACTCAAATCTTAGCAAGCATTACTATAGCCACCAGTTATCTGAGCATGCCACAGGACATACTTTTCTCTCTTGTTGTAGGAGGACTCAATTCCACAGATTTGCCTTAGCATTTGGCTTATGATAAGGAGTCTATGCAAAACCCCTGAGACACATTTTTTTTGTATATAATTTGTATATATATACATATATATATTTTTATTATACTTTAAGTTCTAGGGTACATGTGCACAATGTGCAGGTTTGTTACGTATGTATACATGTGCCATGCTGGTGTGCTGCACCCATTAACCTGTCATCCACATTAGGTATATCTCCTAATGCTATCCCTGCCCCTCCCCCCACCCCACAACAGGTCCCAGTGTGTGATGTTCCCCTTCCTGTGTCCAAGTGTTCTCATTGCTCAGTTCCCACCTATGAGTGAGAACATGCGGTGTTTGATTTTTTGTCCTTGCGATAGTTGTGCTGAGAATGATGGTTTCCGGCTTCATCCATGTCCCTACAAAGGACATGAACTCATCATTTTTTATGGCTGCATAGTATTCCATGGTGTATATGTGCCACATTTTCTTAATCCAGTCTATCATTGTTGGACATTTGGGTTGGTTCCAAGTCTTTGCTATTGTGAGTAGTGCCACAATAAACATACGTGTGCATGTGTCTTTATAGCAGCATGATTTATAGTCCTTTGGGTATATACCCAGTAATGGGATGGCTGGGTCAAATGGTATTTCCAGTATAGATCCCTGAGGAATCGCCAGAGATTCTGGTATGTTGTGTCTTTGTTCTCATTGGTTTCAAAGAACATCTGTATTTCTGCTTTCATTTCATTATGTACCCAGTAGTCATTCAGGAGCAGATTGCTCAGTTTCCATGTAGTTGAGCGGTTTTGAGTGAGTTTCTTAATCCTGAGTTCTCGTTTGATTGCAGTGTGGTCTGAGAGACAGTTTGTTATAATTTCTGTTCTTTTACATTTGCTGAGGAGTGCTTTACTTCCAACTATGTGGTCAATTTTGGAATAAGTGTGGTGTGGTGCTGAGAAGAATGTATATTCTGTTGATTTGGGGTGGAGAGTTCTGTAGATGTCTATTAGGTCCACTTGGTGCAGAGCTGAGTTCAATTCCTGGATATCCTTGTTAACTTTCTGTCTCATTGATCTGTCTAATGTTGACAGTGGGGTGTTAAAGTCTCCCATTATTATTGTGTGGGAGTCTAAGTCTCTTTGTAGGTCTCTAAGGACTTGCTTCATGAATCTGGGTGCTCCTGTATTCAGTGCATATATATTTAGGATAGTTAACTCTTCTTCTTACATTGATCCCTTTACCATTATGTAATGGCCTTCTTTGTCTCTTTTGATCTTTGTTGGTTTAAATCTGTTTTATCAGAGACTAGGATTGCAACCCCTGCCATTTTTTGTTTTCCATTTGCTTGGTAGATCTTCCTCCCTCCCTTTATTTTGAGCCTGTGTGTGTCTCTGGACTTGAGATGGGTTTCCTGAATACAGCACACTGATGGGTCTTGACTCTTTATCCAATTTGCCAGTCTGTTTATTTTAATTGGAACATTTAGCCCATTTACATTTAAGGTTAATATTGTTATGTGTGAATTTGATCCTGTCATTATGATGTTAGCTGGTTATTTTGCTCGTCAGTTGATGCAGTTTCTTCCTAGCATTGATGGTCTTTACAATTTGGCATGTTTTTGCAGTACTGGTTGTTCCTTTCCATGTTTAGTGCTTCTTTCAGGAGCTCTTGTAGGGCAGGCCTGGTGGTGACAAAATCTCTCAGCATTTGCTTGTCTGTAAAGTATTTCATTTCTCCTTCACTTATGAAGCTTAGTTTGGCTGGAAATGAAATTCTGGGTTGAAAATTCTTTTCTTTAAGAATGCTGAATATTGGCTTCCACTCTCTTGTGGCTTGTAGAGTTTCTGCCGAGAGATCAGCTGTTAGTCTGATGGGCTTCCCTTTGTGGGTAACCCGACTTTTCTCTCTGGCTGCCCTTAACATTTTTTCCTTCATTTCAACTTTGGTGAATCTGACAATTATGGGTCTTGGAGTTGCTCTTCTGGAGGAGTATCTTTGTGGCATTCTCTGTATTTCCTGAATTAGAATGTTGGCCTGCCTTGGTAGGTTGGGGAAGTTCTCCTGGATAATATCCTGCAGAGTGTTTTCCAACTTGGTTCCATTCTCCCCGGCACTTTCAGTTACACCAATCAGATGTAGATTTGGTCTTTTCACATAGTTCCATATTTCTTGGAGGCTTTGTTTTTTTCTTTTTATTCTTTTTTTGTCTAAACTTCTCTTCTCGCTTCATTTCATTCATTTAATCTTCAATCACTGATATCCTTTCTTCCAGTTGATCAAATTGGCTACTGAAGCTTGTGCATTCATCATGTAGTTCTTGTGCCATGGTTTTCAACTCCATCAGGTCATTTAAGGACTGCTCTCCATTGGTTATTCTAGTCAGGCATTCGTCTAATCTTTTTTCAAGGTTTTTAACTTCTTTGCGATGGGTTCGAACTTCCTCCTTTAGCTCGAAGAAGTTTGATCATCTGAAGCCTTCTTCTTTCAACTCGTCAAAGTCATTCTCCATCCAGCTTGTTTCATTGCTGGTGAGGAGCTTCATTCCTCTGGAGGAGGAGAGGCACTCTGTTTTTTAGAATTTTCAGTTTTTCTGTTCTGTTTTTTCCCCATCTTTGTGGTTTTATCTACCTTTGGTCTTTGATGACGGTGATGTACAGATGGGGTTTTGGTGTGGATGTCCTTTCTGTTTGTTAGTTTTCCTTTTAACAGTCAGGACCCTTAGCTGCAGGTCTGTTGGAGTTTGCCTGGGTATCAGTGGTGGAGGCTGCAGAACTGTGAATATTGCTGAACAGGAAATGTTGCTGTCTGATCATTCCTCTGGAGGTTTCGTCTCAGAGGGGTACCTGGCTGTGTGAGGTGTCAGTCTGCCCCTACTGCGGGGTGCCTCCCAGTTAGGCTACTCAGCGGTCAGGGACCCACTTGAGGAGGCAATCTGTCCGTTCTCAGATCTCGAACTCTGTGCTGGGAGAACCACTACTCTCTTCAAAGCTGTCATACAGGGAGATTTAAGTCTGCAGAGGTTTCTGCTGCCTTTAGTTTGGCTATGACCTGCCCCCAGAGGTGGAGTCTACAGAGGCAGGCAGGCCTCCTTGAGCTGCGGTGGGCTCTACCCAGTTCGAGCTTCCCAGCCGCTTTGTTTACCTACTCAAGCCTCAGCAATGGCAGGTGCCCCTCCCCCAGCCTTGCTGCCACCTTGCAGTTCGATCTCAGACTGCTGTGCTAGCAAAGAGTGAGGCTGCATGGGTGTGGGACCCTCCGAGCCATGCGCGGGATATAATCTCCTGGTGTGCCATTTGTTAAGACCATTGGAGAAGCGTAGTATTAGGGTGGGAGTGACCCGATTTTCCAGGTGCCGTCTGTCACAGCTTTGCTTGGCTAGGAAAGGGAATTCCCTGACCCCTTGCCCTTCCCGGGTGAGGCAATGCCTCGCTCTGCTTCGGCTCACACTCGGTGCGCTGCACCCACTGTCCTGCACCCACTGTCCAACAAGCCCTAGTGAGATGAACCCAGTACCTCAGTGGGAAATGCAGAAATCATTCGTCTTCTGCGTCACTCATGCTGGGACCTGTAGACTGGAGCTGTTCCTATTCGGCCATCTTGGAACCACCACCTTGAGACACATTTTTGTCTCAAACTAAATTTCAAGCTTTGGGTCAAAGCCTTAGGAAAAAAACAAAACAAAACAAAACAAAACAAAACAAAACAAAAACTGGATTCAAGGAATCCAGAGGCAGACCATAACACAAGTTAAAAGGCACTGCACAGGTGAGCATGACTAATTCCTGACAATTAAGCCAAGCCTCTCATTCCATGGATAAAGGTCATGCTAGTATTCATGGAATAAATGAAGTCTCGGGAACTCGAAGGCTACTCACAGCAGGCGAGACAGGTTGTATGTAGGTAAGAGTGGGTATTCCCACCCCTAGGCCCTCCTTTTAACATTGGCGAAAGCCGCTTTGACACCCATGGGCAGCACCCTTTTGCAGTTGCTGGGACTTAGGGATATAAGGATGGAAGAAAGAAAGGATGCCTCACTTTCTCTCCCTTATGTACTCTGGGCGTTCACTAGGAAGAGAAAGGAACCAGGGATGCTTGTTCCCCTCTTTCTAGATGAGTAGCCATTCTTCTGCAGTCTGTACTCCTTTTGAATATATCCTGAACCCCTGGGATGCTTTTGAAAAAAATGCCTTCTTTTTTCCTTTTCCTCCTCTGTCTTCTTTTCACAGATAGGTAATTGTGTCTCTGTACTATGGGACACTCCCCTCATATACATCCTTGAAACTTGGAAAAGTTCATTTCCCAAACCTTAAACTGGTTGGCTTAGGATTGGGCTTGGAGTAAGTGAAGCCAGAACACTGACATGTCTGCAAAAGGGTAAATTTTTTTTTGTTTGTTTGTTTACCAGTCAGGCTTTTGGCCTCCCTCTCCCTGTGCAAACTGGTAAAAGCTTTGGGATTTTTGAGCTGTTCTTACCCCACCTTGTTTTGTTTTGATACATATTTTCTAATAACTTGGTTTGTCTCTTCTTGCCTTTGGGCCATCAAACTCCAAACAGTCACGCAACCGGAGCCTTGGATGATGGCCCCTTTTGTTGGGGATGCTTAGATAGGTTTTTGAGGGAGCTCTGACTGCCACTTCCCCAAAACAGCACCCCATGTCATCAAGAGGCAGTTAATATCAGTCTTTGTCCTTATCCTTATCCCTATTCTAATGGCAGTTAGATGTACTTCTTTAGAGGGGGGAATGATAGATGCAGGAGGCAGATAAGGGAGGGTACTCAGAGAATCTCTGACCCACCCCACAAGTGTATACATCAGATGTATACAGATGCTTTTGTGCAGATGAGGGAACCTGCCCAGGGCCTTGTCTTGGCATGCCCTCAATGGACTGGGGGCCCACCTTCACACTGGGAGAGTGGGGTGGAACCACTGGGGATTTGCACCTTATGCAGCGGGGAGGAGCCTGGCCTCTTCAGCTTGTGTATGGTGGCCTGGTATTCAATCTGTGAGGTGGGAGCCTATTGGCAGGACCCCTCTTTTTTTTTGCTGAGAGCTTTCTTTTAATAAATTTTGCTCTCCTTGCCTTTCAATGTGTCTGTGTGCCTAATTATTCCTGGTCATTAGACAAGAACCTGGATTTTAGCAGAACTAAGGAGCAAAAAAATCCCTCATTAGTATATCTAACCTTTTTCTTTTTACTTAGAAAATAAACATCATTTTGAAATATTTCAACAAAGGATCTGATGCAAGCCTGTTTTGTTCTCTGTTAGGGTTTAGGTATAAACCCTATCTGATGCTTCTTTTATAATGTGGTAAGTTGTAAGATATTTAATGTGACATTTAAAATTTTATCAAACACTCTAGAAATTGATCTTAAAGTTATTTTATTTCTTTTCATTTGTAATAGACTCATAGACACATTATTTTGTTTTGTTTCCATAAACATAATGGAACTCAAAAGCACTGCTTTGTGGATGGCAAGATCTTTCCAGGGGAAGCATAAATCTAACAAAGCTGAAGATACATCCCTAGTTTTCTCTGTCCTGAAAATGCACTATGCATTTGGGATCCCCTTCATTAGAAAACAGCTTCTTTTGAAAAGATGATATATATAATGATTAACAACAGCAGGTTTCTTATTAAAATAAGCTTTTGGATAAAATAACAATTTACTTTTTGATTTGCACTATCCAATTGATTTCTACTGTTACAGAAAGTGATAATTTTCCCCCAAACATGTGACACAGGTGTAAGTTTTAAAAGTTTAAAAAACTTTGTTGTGAAATGTTTAAGGCAAATAAAAAGATGTAAAGGGCAAAAATTACCCTTTGTATGTATTCTACAAAGAGTATACAGCAAAAGCACTACCTTGACACAGGAATGTTTTTGTTGTTTAAATTTGTTTTCAATTTTTATGGACTGCTTTTTATTTTTTATTTTCGTTTTTCAGTATGTAAAACATTTTCATGATTTCAAAGTATATAATAAGGTATATTGAAGAAATTCTTCATTGTATTCTTCCTTCTCCCATCTCTTCCTCTTTGTATAAGTTGGCATTTTTATTAGTTTTTATTTATCTTTCCAGTATTTTCTTTTTGCAAATATAAGGAAATGCACATGTCTGTTTGCATTTTCCTCCTTCCTTACACAAAAGAGTAATATACATTGTTCTCTACTTTGTTTATTTTTACTTAGCAATACATCTTCAAAATTACTTTAGATAAAAACAGAGATTTTCCTCCTATTTATGGCTGCATAATACTTCATTTTAAGGATGTACCATAGCTTATTCAAACTAGTTCCCTATTTATGAGTGATTACAATATTCCTAATATTTTGCTAATATAAATAGTAACAATAACTAACCTGGTACACATGAAATTTTGCAATTTTTCTAGTTAAGTAAGGGGAATAGCAAGAATTGTTCCTGCATACTTTTTACTCAGTTATATATGAAGGATTTCAAAGAGATGTCAATTTTGGAAAATGCTTCTGGCCATCCCAAATGCTTGGCTTATATCTACTGTTTTTTAACTTGTTTTTTTCCTCATTCATTCCAACTCTTATTACTAAAATACTACATCAAAAGAAATTAAGGGAATCTACAAATATATTTGAATAAGTGATTTTGCCATGTATACTGACCAGAGTCACACTTGCTCTTGCTCCAAAAACAAATCATTGCACTGCCTGAGAGGAAAATGGATTGATGGCCAAGAAAGTCTGATTGTTACTTCTCTATACCTCATGATTTCCTTTCTTTTTACTGCAGTTCTGAAATTTGGATGGCCAGGTCATTCAGCCCTGATCAGTCCCAGAGCAAAACTTACAGTCCCTAAGCTCACAAGAATGTAATGTGTATCAAAAGGTAAATATAGACCTATGAAATGAGATGATTGCTACAGATGCTGCTAATATTAATTTCGGCCATTCTGTGCATTTTTTTTTCTGTAAAGAAGTCTATTTTGGGGCCAGTCGTGGTGGCTCACCCCTGTAATCCCAGCAGTTTGGCAGGCCGAGGCTGGCAGATTACTTGAGGTCAGGAGTTCGAGACCACCCTGGCCAACATGGTGAAACCCCATTTCTACAAAAATACAAAAAATTAGCTGGGCGTGGTGGCTTGGATCTGTAATCCCAGCTACTCGGGAGGCTGAGGCAGGAGAATCCCTTGAACCTGGGAGGCAGAGGTTGCAGTGAGCCGAGATTGTGCCACTGCACTCCAGCTTGTGCGACAGAGCAAAACTCCATCTCAAAAAAAAAAAAAGAAGTCTATTTGGGGAATTGCAGTTAGGTCAGACACCAGCTATATAAACCTGCAGTATCAGAGCTGTAGGAAGAAGACTTCTGATAAACATCCCTGACAGGACCTTCTGTCTAAGAGGCATCACTTTCCTGGTTCTATACACAGATGGCCCTCATTTCTCTCTAAATTCTTTGTCCATACAGCAGTCTTCCTTACCCTCAGGGGGATACATTCCAAGATGTCTAGTAGATACCTGAAATCATGGACAGTATTGAACCATATATATATATATGTGTGTGTGTGTGTGTATTTATATATATTTAAATATATATGCTTTTTTTCTATACATTTAATAAAATTTAATTAACAAATTAGGCACAGTAAGAGATGAACAACAATAACCAATAATAAAATAGAATAATTATAACCATATACTGTAATAAACATTGTGAATGTGATTTGCCTCTCAAAATATCTTATTGTATTGTACTCATCTGTTTTTGGATAGCAGTGGACCCTGGATAATTGAAACTGTGGAAAGCAAAACTGTGGATAAGGGAGACTACTGTATTATTTCTCTTTAACTTCTGATAATATCAAATTTCTTATAAAATTATTCCTGACAGCTTTAAAGACACAAGGCAAGCAGTTGAGACAAATAGCACTATAAAATCTCAATCAAATAAAATAGTTTATGCTATTAGAAGATAAGGTTTTCTCCACGAACACCATTTATTTTGTGCAGTAGTGATAGGTAAGAGGTAGATTCAAAAATTTGCTGTTCCTGAGCTACCTGTAAGAAAAACAAAACAAACAAATAACAACAACAACAAAAAAAAAAACAAAGAAAATCCTATGATTGAGGGAGGAAGTCTAAACCATGGAAAAAAGTTCTTAATTAAACTCATGGAGGTTTTTTGAATTTGGAAATAAATCATTTAGAGGAATCTGAAATAAAATTGTAGCAGTTGATTTATGGCTTCTGTGAAGAATTTGTTTTCATTCTCAATAGTTGCTTGCATTTTTGATTCATCTTTGTTTACACTTATAACTGCAAAACACCTATTTTGAATAGAGCTCGAAAGACTTATTTATTTGATTCACTCTTTCCTTTTTTCCTTCCTTCCCTCCCTCTTTCCCTTCCTTCCTCTACAAATATTTATGGAGTGATTACCAGGTGCCATGCACTGTGCTAAGAATTGGGTATCTTTTCATTTTTCCTCTTCCCCCAAATAGTCTGGTCTTTATTAACAAAGTAAGTATTGTCTGATCTTGTCAAAAGGGCATGTGCAAAGTACAATGCTAAATACATGTAGTGCATAGTTATTTAATATATTTAACTAGTTTTAAACACATACGCTACCTACATAGGTCAGTAGGATTCCCATATCACATCTAAAGAAAATGAAATGAAGCAAGATCTTCTCTCTACAAAAAATAACAAAAATTAGCTAGCCATGGTGGTGCACACCAGTGGTCCTAGCTACTTGGAAGGCTGAGAGGCAGGAGGATCACTGGAGCCCAGGAGTTCGAGACTGCAGTGAGCTATGATCACACCACTGCAACAATGCACTCCAGCCTCAGCAACAGAGTGCAGAGTGAGACCCCCAGCTGTGAAAAAAGGAGAAAATGAATATTTACTGATAATGAGCATGGATCTCTCCACTTTGGGAAATACCATGTTATTGGTAAAAGGCTTGATTTTCTTTTGCATATTTTGTCATTTAAAAAAAAATTCTGTGCCTTAGAACAGTAATTAAAAAGTATATTTGGAAGTGTGTTTGGCACAAGACACTGAGTTTTTAGTTGAAGTTCATTATAGATAAATGTCCTTTTTTTTCAGCTTTTGAGTTCCATTTCTGACAAACTTCTCAAAACTATTGACCTTACCATCTGTGAGATGAATGAAGGCAAAAATTATATTACCTGTCCCTACAATTCCATAATTATGCTTTGGATTCTAATAGTACACAATTTTGTGAAGCATCAGTTTAGTAATTTCCCTTGATAGGAGAACTAAAAGAGCATTTTGAATTTCAATTGGAAAAGAAGAGATACTGTTAATTATATTTTTCTATTTAGAAAAGTGTCATATTTGCTTTACTTAACTGCTATAGTCCTTTGGTTATGTGAAGCCACTAAAGCACTAGATGCCTGTAAAAAGAGTTGAGTGGCAGTTAGTTAATGCCTCATTTGAATTTTAACAACTATGTCAGCAGAAGGTGCACTAAACAGCAAAAGGTGCCTAAGTGAATGAAATGAGTAATCCAGTGCTTTTAGATGACAGGCCAGGTGAAATGTTTCTCCAGTTCAGCAGCAAATTTCTATTTTGTTTAAGAAATATTAATTGATTACCAGCTTTATATAGGGTCTTAGTTGGGTGTTGCTAAGAAAAGATAGCAACTCTTCTCGGGAATTTTAACTAAACAGGGAGAAGGAATTACAAAAGTAACTGTTACATACCACAGAATATTGTTGGTATCAAAAAATTACAAAGATAGTGGAGAAGTCACTAAATGAAGAGATCTTTCCTGGATGGGAAAATGAGAAAAGGCTTAAAGCTGGGACCTTGAAGAAAGAGGAGGGTTCCAGAAGTTGATATATGGAGATGAATGTTTCCTCTAAAATGTGTTGAAATATAATACAATAAATCAAACAGTGAAATATAAGAGCAAAACAAAGACATTTAAATACAGGAAAGAACTTGGGAAATTTACCATTTATGCTCTTCTTCTAAAAAAAATCATTCAGGACTTGTTCACAATCTTAAGTGAAAACATTCGGTGTTTTGTCACTAAGTATGATGTGAACCAATTTGTTTCAGATGCTTTTTATCAGTCTAAGAAAATTCCCTTCTGTTACTAGTTTGTTAATAGGTCATGAATGAATGTTGAATTTTGTCAAATATCTTTCTGTATCAGTTGAGATGATCACATTGTTTTTCTTCTTTAAATCATCTGTAAATATGATGGATTACATTGATTGAGATTTGAATGTTTAGACAGCCTTGCATTTCCAAGACAAATTCCACCTGGTAATAAGGTAGTATTCTTTTTACATGTTGCTAGATTCCCAATTTATGTCCAGAATATGGTCAGTTTTTGTAAATGTTTTCTAAGAGTTTGAAAAGAATATGTATTTTGTGTAAGTTTATTAAAATGATTTTATATATTCATTACATTTTTTGTTAATCACACTGATAAATCTTCTATCCTCTTAAAGATTTTTGTCTGTTTTCTCAATGAGAGAGATGAGTTAAAATTTTCTACCATGAGTGTGGGTTTGTTTACATATTTTTATAGGTCTGTCAATTTTTGAGTTGTATATTTTGAAGCCATTATAATTTTAAATGGATAAAATATAAAATTTCTAGGAGGCCGAGGTGGGCGGATCACCTGAGGTCAGGAGTTTGATACCAGCCTGACCAATATGGTGAAACCCTGTCTCTACTAAAAATACAAAAATTAGCCGGGTGTGGTGGCGTGCACTTGTAGTCTGAGCTACTCAGGAGGCTGAGACAGGAGAATTGCTTGAACCTGGGTTGGGGAGGTTGCAGTGAGCCGAGATTGTGCCATTGCACTCCAGCCTAGATGACAGAGCGAGACTCCGTGTCAAAAAAAAAAAAAAATTTATCCTGGTACCCAGTTTAACTCCAGTGATGTTTTTAACTTTGAAGCCCATTTTGTCTGATATTTATATAGATAACGGCAACTTTTAAAAAGAATTTTAATGATTTATCTTTTCCTGTCACTTAAATATTTATATCATTTAAATATTAATATTATTTGGGATATATTTTATATATAATAAATGCAGCACTAGCATACATTTTAATGGTCTTTGAAAAATGTATACTCCTGCGTAACTTTCACTACATCAAGACATAGAACACTTCCATCATCCCCCAACATTCAAGTCAATCCTCTGCCATTCCTATACCTAGACAAACACTGATACATATTCTGTCATTATAGTTTTTGGCTTTTCTAGAGTTCATATAAGTGGAATCATACAGTATGTACTACTTTTGTGTCAAGAATCGCTTTTTTTTTTGGCTCGGCATGTGCTTAAGATTATCCATGTTGTTGCATGTTTCAGTAAATTGTCCCATTTTTATTACTGAGTTCATGATATGGATATATCATTATGTATTTCAATTGGAATTTCAATTTGAATTTCAATTCATGGGCATTCAATGGGCATATCACAAGTTATTTACTCATTTGCCTTTTGGTAGGCCTTTGAGTTCTCGCTAGCTTTTGGCAATTATGAATAAAGCTTCTGTGAACATTCTTAAACAAGTCTCTGTGTAAGCATACGTTTTCATTTCTCTACGAGTAAAATTACTAGGTCATATGGTAGGTGTATGCATGACTTTATGAGAACCAAAGTGGTTGTACAACTTAATGTTTTTACCAGCAATACATGAGAGTAACAGTTGCTCCAAAACCTCACCAAAACGTGGTATTTTTAGTTCTTTTAATTTTAGCCATTCTAGTGAGTGTGTCATGATATCTTGTTGGTCTTCCAACTTGCATTTCCCTAATGAATAAATGTTGGGCATCTTTTTGTGTGCTTATTAGCCATTCATATATCTTCTTTGATAAAGTATATATTCAAATATTTTGTCCATTTTAAAATTTAATTGTTTATCTTTTTATTATTGAGTTTAAAGGGTTTTAAAATACAATCTACATAAAAATTCCTTGGCAGTTAAATGGTTAGCAAATATTTTCTTCCAGTTATTGGCTTGACTTTTCATTTTATTAGTGGTGTCTTTCCAAGAGCAAAAGTCTTAAATATTGAAAAGTCAAATTTGCCAATTTTTTTCTTGTGACGGTTTATATTTTTGTGCCTATCTCAGACAATGTTGACTACTGAAAGATTATAAAGATTTTCTTCTATGCTGTGTTCTGGACATTGTATAATTTTAGCTTTTACATTTCTGTCAATGATTCATTTTAAGGTAAATTAAAATGAGTTTTTAATTTACTTACTTTTTTTTAAGAGAGGAGTTTTTAAAAGAGGATCTTTTCCTCCAAAGACATCTTGTTATAAATAGGGTACCTATATGTGTATTGCTCTTTTTCTGATTTCTGTCTTTCCATTGATCTGTAGGTCTAGCTTTATACTAATTCTACACTGCCTTGATTACTTAAGTCTTTCAACTTTGTCTTATGTTTTGAAATAGTGTTTTTCTGGTTCTTTTGCATATCTATATACAGTGTAAAATTAACTTGTCAATTTCCACCAAAAAAAATCTTTCTAGAATTTTGTTTGTGATTACATTGAATCTATAGCTCAATTTAGAGAAAATTGACATCTTAACAATAATGAATCTTTCTATTAATGAACATGGTGTATTCCTCTACTTACTTAGGTCTTAATTTCTCTCATTAATACATTATAATTTTTGGCATATATATTTTGTACATATTTTATTAAATTTTCCTTAATAATTTTACAGGTTTGGTACTTAAAACTTTCAGCTTTCAAATTTTCATTGTGAGTATTTAACAATGCAATTGATTTTTGCATAGTGAGTGTATCATGTGATTTCCAAAATTTAATTATTGAGTCTAATAATTTTTGGTGTATTTCTTAGAATTTTCTGCATTATCTTATCATTTGGAAATAATGACAGTTTACTATTTTGGTTACAATGTGTGTTACATTTATGTTTCTTGCCTTATTTCACTTGTGTGTCTGCTGGTGAAACCTCTAGGACCAATAAATATATTCAGTTTTATGATTTAGGATTAGATAGTTGTGGGGAAACCAGAGTTAATGACTAACCTTTAAAAATCGTTTCGTTTAGTAGCTGAGCACTTATTGTTTCAAATCCTCTAACTTTTTTGATAAATTTAAGTTTACCCACTTTAGTCTGTGTTTGGTTTAAGTTCAAAGCTGTACAGAAGATGTACAATATTATGCGCAAATGGCTTGTCAGAAACCTGCCTTCTTCTCCTTCTTTTTGCCCTTCTCCTTCTCCTTCTCCTTCTTCCTCTTCCTCTCCTTCCTTCTTTCTCCTTCTTTCTTCTTTCTTCTTGCCAATTTGTTATGTACATGGCAATTTGAACCTTCTGGGTAGGTTCTTAGGCCTGATTCACCACTCATATACCTGAGTCTTTACTGTGTAGGATGACTTTGATTCCTTCCGGACAGAATGAATTATGTTGCATGGCTTATTTTCTTTTACTGTGTTGAGCTCACACTGGAGAAAATATTAATATTTTCAAAGCTTGTACCACAAAATACTCAGTTTTGAATAAAAGATTAAATTCTAGTAAACTCTTTCACAGTAGGTGAGGTATTTGCAGTAATAAGGTCTAGAAGAAATTATCTATAAATACAATGTGGGATTTGTAATTCTGATAACTTTGGACAATGAAAGCATACAGTAACTTCAAATGTCCTTCTTAATAAATATGTAAGGCTTATTCTATGTTTTGCTTTTCAAATTGAAAAATGAAAGGTAATTTTGAAAACAGAAGTCTGAATAGTTGATATGTAAATTTGTTAAAATATTTTATTTTAAAACCATGTTATTTTGATTTGGTGTTATAAATATAGACTTTACTGATTAAAGATTTGTGTTTGCAAGGAAGTAGACAAGACAAAAATTAGTTTTAACATTATTTGAAACATACCCTTTTAAGGAAACAACATAACTAAGGGGAGCTTTATTTATGAAGGATTTTTTCAAGATATTTGAAGATATTCTTGTGCACAATTATCTATTTGCATTCAAAAACTTAACTTGCTTATACAAACAGGTTGATCTAATCCAAATTACTATGTACATTTTTTTTTTTTTTTTTTTTGAGATGGTGTCTCGCTTTGCCGCCCAGGCTAGAGTGCAGTGGCGCGATCTCGGCTCACTGCAAGCTCCGCCTCCCGAGTTCACGCCATTCTTCTGCCTCAGACTACCGAGTAGCTGGGACTACAGGCGCCGCGCCCGGCTAATTTTTTATATTTTTAGTAGAGACGGGGTTTCACTGTGTTAGCCATGATGGTCTCGATCTCCTGACATTGTGATCTGCCCGCCTCAGCCTCCCAAAGTGCTGGGATTACAGGCGTGAGCCACCACGCCCGGCACTATGTACATTTAAAACAGCAAACTTTCAACAAATTTGGAAATTCTTTCAGTGATACTATAAATTTAGTGTTATTTAATGTACACCTATTTAACAATGTTATATTTTCTTATGTTATTCACAAATTTTAAATTCAATATAGACTTTTTCCTCTTAATTCCCTCATTGTGTGCTTGTGATTTTTAAAGCTTGATGAGAGTTATAAAATGATTTTGACTTGACTTTTTTTGGTTAATGTAAATGAAGCAATAGGTGTTTTTGCTTTTTATAAGCATTCAGGTGCTTCTCTACATGGGGTTGCAGTAGAAGTAGGAACAATCTTCAAAGGAGAATTGCAGGAATTCTGGAGTTTCCTAGATACCTGGTTGGCAATAGTCAGGGAAATATGGGTAATTTTAATTCAGTAAGTTTAGCAATAAAATGTCTACTGATAAAAGGGAGGAAATATGCACATAAATAAGACAATGTATGTAGTCTTTCAGTTGAATGTGTCTTCTTTACCTGCATACTATGGGCCAATTATGATTTAGGAGACGCTGGATGTTGTTAACCTCCTTATGTACAGTTAGTGAGTCTTCTAAAAACTGTTGAGGTTGAGAAGTGGGGCTAATCTAAACCTATTAAGATCAGAGATAAGGTCTACTTTAGATGACTAACAAAACAAACGGATCAAATATTGCAAGATTCCAAGATTGAAAACTTTTTCTGAAAATAAAATCTTAAAAACAAAAAGCTATACAAAAAAGAAATTGTAACAAAAAATGCATTGCATGGATCAGCTCTTTAGAAAAATGCAAACTATATAGTGATTTAAGAAAAAAACCATAATGATACTGGGGCAAAGGGTACGTGTGTGTTTGTGTTTTGTGTGGTGTGAGAGAGCCATATCTTAGCTTTCTGTAATAGAAAATCAATAGCGAATGTAAACATTGACAAATGGAAACTTGTACCTTAACCAAAAAGAAAAAGATCTTTACACTGGAATTCATTGGAGTCGTCATAGGCCTGTGAGGAGAAGCTGCCTTTTTTGACTGGCTAGCATGATAAATTCTTGGCTCATATTAAGGGCTCGGTAAATGTTGATTGAATGTTTAAATATTCTAGTTGTCTCATTTACCTAGTGATACCCTTTCCCACTGCATGTAGTCATTTTAGAACCATGGACTGTCACCACTCAAAACAGGTTACATGACTGATTACTTGGTATCTACACGCAGGAAAGCATTGATCAAGTACTCATAATCAACAGACATGCCAGGGGATCTTGAAACTGGTGGAGAATTATGAATTTATGTAATATTATAAAAAAGAAAGAAGAATAAACTGGGAAAATCCTGGAAGATGGTGCTGAAGGCGCTATGCAGACTGTATGTGGTGAGATTAAGAGACTGCTCAAACTGAGAACTAGGTGGAAAAAGCACACTGGAACTCCCAAGAGTTGGGGGCTGAAGTTGCAGTATCGGCCCTAAAGAAAATCGTGGATGGTTTCTGTGTTGATAACTAGGGGCCACATGACCATAGGGAAATTTTGGGTGGCCTATGTTTAGAAATGAAGGGAGTTAACTCGGGGGATGTATCCCTGGAGGTGCCGAGAGGCCCTATTCACTCAACTTCACTGCTGTTTCACACAGATTGTGAGTGGCAGAGTGTGTATCATATGTTTGTCATTCCTGGTCTAGGATCTGGGACATTGGTCAATTAAATGTCCAATTTAATTGGGATCAAGGCAGGGAAGGCTTAGGAATCTACTTTAAGAAATTCAACGATACAGAATTAAGGAATACTATTAGGTTGAACCATATGAATAGCAGTTTATTTGACCTTTTTCCAACATTCTATTATGAAAAGTTTCAAATATCTAATAAAGTTAAAAGAATTTTGAGGGGGAACAGCATTCAATTGTTTTTTTTGACTGCAAAACAGGAATTTCATTTCATTTACTTTGGATACCTTGACCAGGTATGGTTAGGCTGATGATGGAGGCAGTTTGTTCGTTGGCCTCCTAAGTACTACACACTCCAAGCACCATAGCTAGAACCTATGAATATAACTTGTTATGAAAAGTGCAGAGAATGGTTGTAGGTGAGATCTTGATGCATAACACAAAAAAAGCTATCCAAATATATTTTATTCACTGTCGCTATAAACCCAGGTAATAAAAATGCTTCATAAACAACAAAATACAAACCAACAAAAATGTTGATTGTTTTGAGTGTGAATATATAGTTGCTTATTCAGAAGTTTTGATACTTTTATGAGAAAAGCCTTTAGCAGGTGATTATTTTAGTTTTTTTAAATATTTGTGTAGACTGTATTTTCTCATTATTTTCACTTGTGAAAATGGAATTTCTGAAAGAAGCTGTATGCAGACTAACAATGAAATGGTAATCGATTTGAATGTAAAATAATCTCTTATGATTTGCCATGTTGGTAGATATGATTCAGATTGGAGATTTTGAGCCACAAAAGATGTCTTTCATGTATCTCCCTAGTCTATTAATCTTTCACATTAATCAGTATTCTTTAAATCAATTGAAACATTTTTTATCCCTGCCTAAAGGTGGCTTCTTGAAAACCATAACAGTAATTGAACTATGACAGATATCTTGATTAAAAAACAAAAATGAAAACAAAGAATAAAATCACCAAGCTCTAGGCCATGCTGTTGTTTTCTGTAAAATGAACTTGGGCATAACACAGGTAAGTCACTTTTTTTCCTGGAATATTATTAGGTGATTTAACATAATTACAGCAACATTTATGGGAAACTGTTGGCATTTCAAGTTTATGAAATGGCTTTTAAATGTGCACAGAATAGAGCACCTTTGTTTCTAAGGCTATAAGCATTGAACCAAAACAAATAACTGTAAGCTACCCAGTGCCACACCTGACAAATTGTGATTTGCTACATAACTTACTGTTTGGACAGACTTGCATATACTAGAAAATGCATATATTTGTGTATGCACACACAAACACACACACCTCAATTTGATATTTTTCTTTCAATTCATAAGAATTAACATTTTAGTCTTAAGGGTTAAAAGGAGGGGTATGAAAGATAGGCATTTTATAGAAAATTACAAATTACATATATATAAAATACATATATGCACACATATATGTCTATACATATACATGTGATTTTTACTGTGTATAAATTGATAATGGCTTGCAAAATTATTTTATAATTAATTCTTTCACCTCGTGATCCCAAATTACAACATAAGACTTCATAGATTTCAAATGGACATTTTTGGGCACTCATCAGGGAGTCAGAATACAACTCTGAAGGCCGTTAATTTTAACTATGAACATACAGCTATGCTATTTATTAATCTTTTCTATCATTTTTCTTATCAAACTTACATTATCACAGAGTATAGGATAGATTTTTAAAAAATTTTTCTTTTGCTGTATGCACCAGGCAGGTGGCTGACTTTTGATCTCAAAATATGTGTCATCATTTGTGATGAGCAACTATTGAGGTTTTTTTTTTTTTTTTGAGGTGTAATTGGAGATTTAGCACCTTCTTCCACAAAAGACTTTCTCAATATAGCACTTACTTTTATCTGCTTTAGAGTGCTAGGCTGAAATCTGAGGGAAATAACAGCTTCCCCTCTGTTGAATTCTGTTTTTGATTGACGCTGTAAGGTTCAACATTTTTGTCTTAGTTCTTTATAATATTGTTAGTATATGTACATTAGACCCCCCCATGCCTTATTCTGTAAGAACCCTACAGATGTAAATTATATGAATCATGTCTTTCATGGGCTTTAAAAACATTTAGAAAGAGAACAGGTTTAATTGGCTCATGGTTCTGCAGGCTGTATAGGAAGTGTGGCACCAGCATCTACTCCACTTCTGGGGAGGTCTCAGGGAGCTTACTCATAGTGGAAGGTAAAGGGAGAGCGTGAATAGTGGAAGGCAAAGGGAGAGCATTCCACATGGTGGGAGCAGAAGCAAGTGAGTATTGGGGTGGAGGTGTCATATATATATAATACTTTAAGTTCTGGGATACATGTGCAGAATGTGCAGGTTTGTTACATAGGTATACATGTGCCATGGTGGTTTGCTGAAGCCATCAACCCATCATCTACATTAGATATTTCTCCTAATGCTATGCCTCCCCTTTCCCCCAACCCCCTGACAGGCCCTGGTATGTGATGTTCCTCTCCCTGTGCCCATATGTTCTCATTGTTCATCTACTTATGAGTGAGAACATGTGGTGTTTGGTTTTCTGTTCCTGTGTTAGTTTTCTGAGAATGATGGTTTCTAGCTTCATCCATGTCACTGCAAAGGACATGAACTAATCTTTTTTATGGCTGCATAGTATTCCATGGTATATATGTGCCACATTTTCTTAATCCAGTCTATCATTGATGGGCATTTGGGTTGGTTTCAAGTCTTTGCTATTGTGAACAGTGCTGCAATAAACAAACGTATGCATGTGACTTTATACTACAATGATTTATAATCCTTTGGTATATACCCAGTAATGGGATTGCTAGGTCAAATGGTATTTCTGGTTCTAGATCTTTGAGGAATTGCCACACTGTCTTCCACAATGGTTGAACTAATTTACACTCCCACCAACAGTGTAAAAGCATTGCTATTTCTCCACATCCTCTCCCGCATCTGTTGTTTCCTGAATTTTTAATGAATGCCATTCTAACTGGCATGAGATGGTATCTCATTGTGGTTTTTATTTTCATTTCTCTAATGACCAATGATGATGAGCTTTTTTTCATATGTTTGTTGGCCTCATAAATGTCTTCTTTTGAGAAGTGTCTGTTCATATCCTTCACCCACTTTTTGATGGTCTTGTTTGTTTTTTTCTTGTAAATTTGTTTAAGTTCTTTCTAGATTCAGGATATTAGCCCTTTGTCAGATGGATAGATTGCAAAAATTGTCTCCCATTCTGTAGGTTGCCTGTTCACTCTGATGATAGTTTCTTTTGCTGTGCAGAAACTCTTTAGTTTAATTAGATTCCGTTTGTCAATTTTGGCTTTTGTTGCCGTTGCTTTTGGTGTTTTAGTCATGAAGTTTTTGCCCATGCCTATGTCCTGAATGGTATTGCCTAGGTTTTCTTCTAGGGTTTTTATGGTTTTAGGTCTTATGTTTAAATCTTTAATCCATCTTGAGATAACTTTTGTATAAGGTGTAAGGAAGGGGCCCAGTTTCAGTTTTCTGCATATGGCCAGCCAGTTTTCCCAATGCCATTTATAAAATAGGGAATCCTTTCCCTATTGCTTGTTTTTGTTGGGTTTGTCAAAGACCAGATGGTTGTAGATGTGTGGTGTTATTTCTGAGGCCTCAGTTTTATTCCACTGGTCTATATATCTGTTTTGGTACCAGTACCATGCTGTTTCAGTTACTGTAGACTTGTAGTATAGTTTGAAGTCAGGTAGCATGATGCCTCCAGCCTCGTTCTTATTGCTTGGGATTGTCTTGGCTATATGAGCTCTTTTTTGGTTCCACATGAAATTTAAAGTAGTTTTTTCTTTTTTTATAGCATACATATGTACACATGTGTAAAGGCATGTCAATTACTCAATCTACACAAAATGCCAATATTTTTATAAATTCAAGAATCCTTTGTGATAAATTCAGGACCACCAGGAGCTCAAAAATTCCAAGTTTTTGTTTGTTTGTTATTTTAAATTGGTGGAGGTTTGTTTGTTTATTTTATTTTTAAATTTCTTCCTTCTTTTTTGAATTATACTTTATGTTCTGGGATACATCTGCAGAATGTGCAGGTTTGTTACATAGGGATACATATGCCACGGTTGTTTGCTGCACCCATCAACCCATCATCTACATTAGGTATTTCTCCTAATGCTATTCCTTCCCTAGCCCTCCACACCCCCGAGAAGCCCCAGTGTGTGATGTTCCTCTCCCTGTGTTCATGTGTTCTCATTGTTCATCTCCTACTTATGAGTGAGAACATGCAGTGTTTGGTTTTCTGTTCCCGTGTTAGTTTGCTGAGAATGATGGTTTCCAGCTTCATCCATGTCCCTGCGAAGGATATGAACTCATGCTTTTTTTTTTTTTTTTGAAACAGAGTCTCGCTCTGTTGATCTCTGCTCTCTGCAAGCTCTGCCTCCTGGGTTCATGCCATTCTTCTGCCTCAGCCTCCCGAGTAGCTGGGACTACAGGCGCCCACCACTATGCTCAGCTAATTTTTTGTATTTTTAGTAGAGACAGGGTTTCACTGTGTTAGCCAGGATGGTCTCGATCTCCTGACCTTGTGATCTGCCCACCTTGGACTCCCAAAGCTGTGGGATTACAGGCATGAACCATCACACCTGGCCCAAACTCATCCTTTTTGATGGCAGCATAGTACTCCATGTTGTATATGTGCCATATTTTCTTTATTCAGTCTATCATTGATGAGCATGTGGGTTGGTTCCAACTCTTTGCTATTGTGAACAGTGCTGCAATAAACATATATGTGCATGTGTCTTTATAGTAGAATGATTTATAATCATTTGGGTATGTATCCAGTAATGGGATTGCTGGGTCAAATGGTATTTCTGGTGCTAGATCTTTGAGGAATTGCCACACTGTCTTCCACAATGGTTGAACTAATTTACACTCCCACCAACAGTGTAAAAGCATTGCTATTTCTCCACATCCTCTCCAGCATCTGTTGTTTCCTGAATTTTTAATCAACGCCATTCTAACTGGTGTGAGATGGTATCTCATTGTGGTTTTGATTTGCATTTCTCTAATGACCAGTGATGATGAGCTTTTTTTCATATGTTTGTTGGCTTCATAAATGTCTTCTTTCATATCCTTCACCCACTTTTTAGTGGGGTTGTTTCTTTTTTCTTGTAAATTTGTTTAAGTTCTTTCTAGATTCTGGATATTAGCCCTTTGTCAGATGGATAGATTGCCAAAATTTTCTCCCATTCTGTAGGTTGCCTGTTCACTCTGATGACAGTTTCTTTTGCTGTGCAGCAGCTCTTTAGTTTAATTAGATTCCATTTGTCAATTTTGGTTTTTGTTGCCGTTGCTTTTGGTGTTTTAGTCATGAAGTTTTGCCCATGCCTATGTCCTGAATGGTATTGCCTAGGTTTTCTTCTAGCGTTTTTATGGTTTTAGGTCTTACATTTAAATCTTTAATCCATCTTGAGTTAAATTTTGTATAAGGTGTCAGGAAGGGGTCCAGTTTCAATTTTCTGCATATGGCTAGACAGTTTTCCCAACACCATTTATAAAATAGGAAACCCTTTCCTCATTGCTTGTTTTTGTCCGGATTGTCAAAGATCAGATGGTTGTAGATGTGTGGTGTTACTTCTGAGGCCTCTGTTTTGTTCCATTGGTCTATATATCTGTTTTGGTGCCAGTACCATGCTGTTTGGTCACTGTAGCTTTGTAGTATAATTTGAAGTCAGGTAGTGTGATGCCTCCAGCTTTGTTCTTTTTTCGTTGGATTGTCTTGGCTGTGCAGGCTCTTTTTTTGGTTCCACATGAAATTTAAAGTAGTTTTTTCTAATTCTGTAAAGAAAGTCAGTGGCAGCTTGATGGGGATAGCAATGAATTTATAAATTACTTTGGGCAGTATGGCCATTTTCATGATATTGATTCTTCCTATCAATGAGCATGGAATGTTTTTCCATTTGTTTGTGTCCTCTCTTATTTCCTTGAGCAGTGGTTTGTACTTCTTGAAGAGGTCCTTCACATACCTTGTAAGTTGTATTCCTAGGTATTTTATTCTCTTTGTAGCATTTGTGAATGGGAGTTTGCTCATGATTTGGCTCTCTGTTTGTCTATTATTGGTGTGTAGGAATGCTTGTGATTTTTGCACATTGATTTTGTATCCTGAGACTTGCTGAAGTTGCTTGTCAGCTTGAGGAGATTTTGGGCTGAGATGATGGGGTTTTCTGAATATACAATCATGTCATCTGCAAACAGAGACAATTTGACTTCCTGTGTTCCTATCTGAAAACTCTTTATTTCTTTCTCTTGCCTGATTGCCCTGGCCAGAACTTCTAATACTATGTTGAATAGGAGTTGTGAGAGAGGGCATCTTTTTCTTGTACCAGTTTTCAAAGGGAATGCTTCCAGCTTTTGCTCATTTAGTATGATATTGGCTGTGAGTTTGTCATAAATAGCTCTTATCATTTTGAGATATGTTGCATCAATACCTTGTTTATTGATAGTTTTAGCATTAAGCATTGCTGAATTTTATCAAAGGCCTTTTATGCATCTATTGAGATAATCATGTGGTTTTTGTCATTGGTTCTGTTTATGTGATGGATTACATTTATTGATCTGTGTATGCTGAACCAGCCTTGAATCCCAGGGATGAAGCCAACCTGATTGTGGTGGATAAGCTTTTTGATGTGCTGCTGGATTTGGTTTGCCAGTATTTTATTGGGGATTTTCACATCGATATTCATCGGGGATATTGGCCTGAATTTTTTTGTTGTTTTTGTCTCTCTGCCAGGTGTTAGCATCAAGATGATGCTGGCCTTATAAAATGAGTTAGGGAGGATTCCCTCTTTTTCTGTTGATTGGAATAGTTTCAGAAGGAATGATACCAGCTCCTCTTTGTACCTCTGGTAGAATTCGACTGTGAATCCTTCTGGTCCTGGGCTTTTTTTGGTTTGTAGGCTATTAATTACTGTCTCAATTTCAGAACTTGTTAGTAGTCTAGTCACGGATTCAAATTCTTCCTGGTTTAGTCTTGGAGGGTGTATGTGTCCAGGAATTTATCCATTTCTTCTAGATTTTCTAGTTTATTTGGTTAGAGGTGTTTATAGTATTCTCTGATGGTAGTTTGTATTTCTGTGGATCACTGGTGATCTCCCTTTTATCATTTTTATCTTGGCTATTTAATTCTTCTCTCTTTTATTTTTTATTAGTCTGTCTAGTGGTCTATTTTGTTGATCTTTTCAAAAAACCAGCCCCTGGATTCATTTATTTTTTGAAGGGTTTTCGTGTCTCTATCTCCTTCAGTTCTGCTCTGCTCTTAGTTATTTCTTGTCTTCTGCTAGCTTTTGAATTTGTTTGCTCTTGCTTCTCTAGATTTTTTAATTGTGATGTTAGGATGTTGATTTTAGATCTTTCCTGCTTTCTCCCATGGGCATTTAGTGCTATAAATTTCCCTCTAAACACTGCTTTAGCTGTGTGTCAGAGATTCTGGTACATTGTGTCTTTGTTCTCATTGGTTTCAGAGACCTTATTTATTTCTGCCTTCATTTCGTTATTCACCCAGTAATCATTCAGGAGCAGGTTGTTCAGTTCCCATGTCATTGTGCAGTTTTGAGTGAGTTTCTTAATCCTGAGTTCTAATTGTATTGCACTGTGGTCTGAGAGACTGTTTGTTATGATTTCCGTTCTTTTGTATTTGCTGAGGAGTGTTTTACTTTCAAGTATGTGGTCAATTTTAGATTAGTTGTGATGTGGTGCTGAGAAGAATGTATATTCCATTGATTTGGGGTGGAGGGTTCTGTAGATGTCTATTAGGTCTGCTTGGTCCAGAGCTGAGTTTAAGTCCTGAATATTTTTGCTAATTTTCTGTCTCATTGATCTGTCTAATATTGACAGTGTGGTGTTAAAGGCTCCTGCTACTATTGTGTGGGAGTGTAAGTCTTTTTGGAGGTCTCTTAGGACTTGCTTTATGAAAATAGGTGCTCCTATATTGGGTGCATATATATTTAGGATAGTTAGCTCTTCTTGTTGAATTGATCCCTTTACCATTATGTAATGCCCTTCTTTGTCTCTTTTGATCTTTGTTTAAGTCTGTTTTGTCATAAACTAGGATAACAATGCCTGCTTTTTTTTGCTCTCCGTTTGCTTGGTAAATATTCCTCCATCCCTTTATTTTGAGCCTATGTGTGTCTTTGCATGAGAGATGGGTCTCCTGAATACAGCACACTGATGTGTCTTGACTCTGTATCCAAATTTTCCAGTCTGTGTCTTTTAATTGTGGCATTTAGCCCATTTATTTACAAGGGTAATATTATTATGTATGAATTTGATCCTGTCATTATGATGGTAGCTGGTTATTTTGCCCATTCGTTGGTGCAGTTTCTTCATAATGTCGATGGTCTTTACAATTCGGCATGCTTTTGCAGTGGCTGGTACTGGTTTTTCCTCTCCATATTTAGAGCTTCCTTCAGGAATTCTTGTAAGGCAGGCCTGGTGGTGACAAAATCCCTCAGCATCAGCTTGTCTGGAAAGGATTTTATTTCTCCTTCGCTTATGAAGCTTAGTTTGGCTGGATATGAAATTCTGCGTTGAAAATTCTTTTTCTTAAGAATTGTGAATATTGGACCCAACTCACTTTTGGCTTGTTGGGTTTCTGCAGAGAGATCTGCTGTTAGTCTGATGGGCTTCCCTTTGTGGGTAACCTGATCTTTCTCTCTGGCTGTCCTTAACATTTTTTTCCTTCATTTCAACCTCAGTGAATCTGACTATTATGTGTCTTGGGGTTGCTCTTCTTGAGGATTATCTTTGTGGTGTTCTCTGTATTTCCTGAATTTGAATGTTAGCCTGTCTTGCTAGGTTGGGAAAGTTCTCCTGGATAATATCCTGAAGTGTATTTTCCAACTTTCTGCCATTCTCCCCATCACTTTCAGGTACACCAATGAAACGTAGGTTTGGCCTTTTCACATAGTTTCATATTTCTTGGAGGCTTTGTTGGTTCCTTTGTATTCTTTTTTCTCTAATCTTGTCTTCATACTTTATTTCTAAGTTGATCTTCAATCTCTGATATCCTTTCTTCTGCTTGATCAATTCAGCTATTGATACTTCTGTATGCTTTACAAAGTTCTTTTGCTGTGTTTTTCAGCTCCATCAGGTCATTTATGTTCTCTAAACTGATTATTTTAGTAAGCAATTCCTCTAACCTTTTTTCAAGGTTCTTAGCTTCCTTGCATTGGGTTAGAACATGCTCTTTTAGCTCAGAGGAGTTTATTATTACCCATCTTGTGAAGCCTACTTCTGTCAATTTGTCAAACTCATTCTTCATCCAGTTTTGTTCCCTTGCTGGCAAGGAGTTGTATTCCTTTGGAGAAGAGGCGTTCTAGTTTTTGGAATTTTCAGGCTTTTTGTGCTGGTTTTTCCTCATCTTCATGGATTTATCCACCTTTGATCTTTGCTGTTGGTGACCTTCAGATGGAGTTCACGTGGTTGTCCTTTTTGTTGATGTTGATGCTATTTCTTTCTGCTTGTTAGTTTTCCTTCTAACAGTCAGGCCCCTCTTCTGCAGGTCTGCTGGGGTTTGCTGGGGCTCTACTCCAGACCTTGTTTGCCTGGGTATCACCAGCAGATGCTGCAAAACAGCAAAGATTGCTGCCTCCTTCTTCCTCTGGAAGCTTCGTCCCAGAGGGGCACCTGCCAGGTGCCAGCCGGAGCTCTCCTATATGAGGTGCCTGTTGACTCATGCTGGGAGGTGTCTCCTCGTCAGGAGGCACAGGGTTCAGGACCCGCTTGAGGAGGCAGTCTGTCCCTTAACCGAGCTGGATCACTGTGCTGGGAGATCCGCTGCTCTCTTCAGGGCCAGCAGGCAGAAATGTTTAAGTCTGCTGAACCTGCGCCCACAGCCACCCCTTCTTCCAGGTGCTTTGTCCCAGGGAGATGGGAGTTTTATCTATAAGCCCCTGACTAGGGCTGCTGCCTTTCTTTCAGTGATGCCCTGCCCAGAAAGTAGGAATCTAGAGAGGCAGTCTGGGTACAGCAGCTTTGTGGAGCTGTAGTGGGCTCCACTCAGTCTGAACTTCCTGGAAGCTTTGTTTACACTGTGAGGGGAAAACTGCCTACTCAAGCCTCAGATATGGCGGATGCCCCTTTCCCCACCAAGCTCAAGCATCACAGGTCGACTTCAGACTGCTGGGGTGGCAGCAAGAATTTCAAGCCAGGATCTTAGCTTGCTGGGCTCCATGGGGGTGGGTTCCGCTGAGCAGGGCCACTTGGCTCCCTGGCTTCAGTCCTCTTTCCAGGGGAGTGAACGTTTCTGTCTTGCTGGCATTCCTAGTGCCTCTGGGGTATGAAATAAAACTCCTGCAGCTAGCTCGGTGTCTGCCCAAACAGCTGCCCAGTTTTGTGCTGGAAACCCAGGGCCCTTGTGGTATAGGCACCTGAGGGAATCTCCTGGTCTGTGGGTTGTGAAGACCCTGGGAAAAGCATACTATCTGGGCTGGATAGCACCATCCCTCACAGCACGGTCCCTCATGGCCTCCCTTGGCTAGGGGAGGGAGTTCCCTGACCCCTTGCACTTCCCGGGTGAGGTGACACCCTACTCTGCTTCTGTTGGTCCTCTGTGGGCTGCATCCACTGTCTAACCAGTCCCAATAAGATGAACTGGGTACCTCAGTTGGAAATGCAGAAATCACCCACCTTCTGCAGTGATCTCACTGGGAGCTACAGACTGGAGCTCTTCCTATTCGGCCATCTTGCCTGGGAATCCCCCACATATGTTTAAATGACCAGATCTCATGAGAACTCACTGTGGTGAGGATAGCATCAAACGATGAGGGATCTGCCTCCATGACCTAGACACCTTTCACCAGGCCTCATCTCCAACACTGAGGATTACTTTTCAACATGAAGTTTGGGAAGGGAGAAATATCCAAGCTATATTATTCTGTCCCTGGCCCCTCCCAAATCTCATGTCCTTGTCACATTTCAAAATACAATCATCCCTTCTTAATAATCCCTCAAAGTCTTAACTCATTTCAGCATTTGAGACTCAAGCCAAGTTCTTTCCACCTATGAGCCTAAACAATCAGAAAAAGTGATTTACTTCCAAATACAATGGGGATTCAGGCATCTGGTAAACATTCCCATTCCAAAAGGGAGAAATTGGCCAAAAGAAAGGGGCTACAGGCCCCATGCAACTTCAATACCCAACAGGGTTGTCAGTAAATCTTAAAGCTCCAAAATAATCTTTGATTCTATGTCCCTCATCCAGGGCACACTGGTGCAAGGGGTGGGATCCCAAGGCCTTGGGCGGCTTTGCTGGGTTCAGCTTCCACAGCTGCTGTCATCATTTGGCATTGAGTACTTGCAGTTTTTCCAGGTGCATGTTGCAAGCTGGTGGTGGAGCTGCCATTCTGGGGTCTGGAGGACAGTGTCCCTTTTTCCACAGCTCTGCTAGACATTGTTCCAGTGGGGACTCTGTATTGGACTTTCAGCCTTACACTTCTCCACACTGCCCTAGTAGAGGTTCTTTGCGAGCCCCAGTGGCAAGATTCTGGCTAAGCACCCAGACTTTCTCATGCATCCTCTGAAATCTAGGCAGAGGCTGCCACGCCTCCTTCACTGTCACACTCTGTGCACCTGTGGGCTTAACACTACATACAGGCTGCCAAGGCTTATGTCTTGCATTCTCCAACATGGCAGCCTGAGCTGCACCTGGGCTCCTTTGAGCCACAGCTGGAGCTGGAGTGGCTAGGACTTAGGAAGTAGTGCCCCAAGGCTGCACAGAGCATCCAGACCCTGGGGCTGGCCCACAAAATCATTCAGTCCTCCTAGACATCTGGACCTGTGATAAGAGGGGCTGTCATGAAAGTCTCTGAAATGCCTTCAAGGCAGTTTTTCCCAATGTCTTGGCTATTAGTACATGGTGCATAACTAAAGTTATGCAAGTGGTTGCTCACAGCCTGCTTGAATTCCTCCTCTGAAAATGGTTTTTCTTTCTCTGCCACATGGCTAGGCTGCAAATTTTCCAAAATTTGATGTTCTGCTTCCTCTTTAAATATAAATTTCAACTTTAAATTATTCTTTTGATCCCTCTCTGAGTGTAGGTTGTTAGAAATCAGGCCACATCTTGAATGTTCTGCTGCTTAGAAATTTCTTCCACTAGATAGTTTAAATAATCATTTTGAAGTTCAAACTTTCACAGATCCCTAGGGCATGGACACAATTCAGCCAGGTTCTTTGCTAAGGCATAACGTGTGTTACCTTTGCCCAATAAGTTCCTAATTTCCATCTGAGACTTTGTTAGCTTGGACTTCATGGTACATATCACTATTAGCGTTTTGGTCACAATCATTTAAGCAGTCTTTAAGAAGTTCCAAACTTTCTCTTGTTTTCCTATCTTCTTCTGAGCCCTCCAAACTCTTTTAACCTCTGCCTGTTATCCAGTTCCAAAGCTGCTTCCACGTGTTTAGGTATATTTATAGCAGTGCCCCACTCCTTGGTACCAATTTTCTGTGTTAGGATCTTCTTGCATTGCTATAAAGAAATGGGTAATTCATAAGGAAAAGAGGTTTAATTGGCTTATGATTCTACAGGCTGCACAGGAAGCATGGTGCCAGCATCTGCTTAGCTTCTGAGGAGGCCTTAGAGAGCTTTTACTCATGGCAGAAGGCAAAGTGGGAGCTTGCACATCAAATGGCAGGAGCAGGAACAAGAGGAACTTTTGTGAACTTTGGAATGAAATGTTTATTAACTAGAGAAACACATTTGTTTCCCTTTTACCAGATCATTTGAAATTGATGCTGTGAAGGACCCAGGTAATTTGTTTTTGGTTCACACTCTTTAAGATCCAGGAGATTTATGGGAATTAGATATCATTAAGGGGGTCGTAGTTACCATGTGGCCCCCTCAGCATTCATGGTCAGTCTGAAAATTTGTTTCAAGCCTCTTAAAGATACGCTCACTGATGTTTAAATGGGACAGATGGGAAAAAAGTAAATGAAACAGATGGTTGAATTGTTCCTTTCTGTGTGGTATTAACAGATCCCCTATTAAAGCATACTGTTCTCAGTATGGTTCTGAAAAAGCGTTTATCAGTAGCTAATATTTTATACAACATTGTTCTAGATAATACAGAAAATTATTAAACATTGACTCTGTCTTCTAGGAGCTTAGTGATATCATTTCATAGGACCTCTGAGAGATGAAATCTTCTTCAATATGATTAGAGTCTTGTGGACAAAATCTGAGATGCCTTTAAGACCCTGTGTATTTCATAGTTGTTTCTAAGGACATTGTGAATTCATATTATAGAGAGGCTATTACATTATAGGTAGGCTAGAAGCCAATTCACACTTTTCTTGGATTGTGGGGATCTTGGATTGTGGGGATCTCCTTTTTGTATGGGAATCTTGAGATTCCCTGGGATTCCTCCCTTGGAAGGAGATGAGGTTGGAAAAGTTGGCTGTTTTTGCCCTTTGCAAACGCTGTCTCTTAGTCTATATTTTTCTTATTCCTAGTTCTTCTCTTTTATTCCCCTTTGTTCCCCTTCATTTTGCCTCTCATTTTTTCTGTCTGCTATAACTTGGGATATTAGGTGGGCAAATGCCAAATATTCCATTATATCACTTCTATGAGTTGTTTTTATCATTGATACACTTCATTTAGAGAGAATACAAATGAAACAATATTTCTAGTGAGTATAGCAAAGAAATCAAGTGAGCTGGTGTAGGCATAGGCCTACTTTAAGAAATAGACATGAACTAACATGATCTTAGAACGTTTGTACTAGAAGGACCACCAGAGTCTCCTCTAATAATTCATGTAATTTTATAAATTATGTACGGAGATTTGGGCCTCGTGTAAAATGACACAATGAATTAGTGGCAGAGGTAGAATCTGCACCTGAATATTCTGACTGACTCCTAGTCAGAAGTTATGTAAGTGCATAAATTCCCTTCTATTCACAAATGACAATCTAGAATGGGCCCACATCCAATTTTTAGATTCAAATCAGTGGTCACATCCTAATGAGCTAAATTGGATAGCTAAATCTCAAACCTGCTTTTGGACCAGCTAACTGGAAATAAGTACCATGTAGCATAGTGGAATACTTTGCCCTCATATTACTCTCAGCCCATGTTGGTTTCGATCATATTAGTAAACATGAGAGGTATATCTAAGGAAATGAATACATTATGAGATCAGTTCCTCAAAGCTACATAACACCTCATGATGAACTATGGAGCACGCAGACAAAGAAACAAGGAGACATTAATTAATTTCTCTAATCAGAAAAGTATTTACATAACTAATTGAATGAAAAATGGGACTAGATGACTTCTACTGTTCTTTCCACTCAAGAATGTTCTATTAAACTTGGCCAACAATTTGCTGGGTCTATTACTTTTTAGTGCTGTGTAATAAATTACCACAAGTTTACCAGCTTAAACCAATGTAAATTATCTTTTTACAATTTCTGTGGGTTAGGAGTCCAAGTATGAGTTAAGGTCCTACCACGTTGAAATCAAGGTATCATCTGGGGCTATAATCTCATCTGAGCCTTGGAATCTTCTCCCAGGCTCATTCAGGCTGTTGGCAAAATCCAGTTGCTTGAGCTTGTAGGACTGAGGCCCTTCATTCTTAGAGGCTGGCTCTTTCCAAATGCAGTTTATAGCATGTCTGTCTGTTTCTCAAGGCCAGCTGGAGAGTGGTGGCTTTTATTATTTTTTTTGCTTCAAATCTCTCTGAAGTCTGTCTCTGATCTCTAAACCCCCTTCTTTTGAAAGGTCCTGCCTGATTATGTCAGGTCCACCTAAGATAATCTTCCTTTTAATTAACTTAAGTTTAAGTTATTAAAGACCTTAATTGCATCTGCAAAATCCCTTCACCTTTGCCATATAACATAATCTAATTACAGGAGTGATATCCTGTGATATTCATAGATCCCACACTCAAAGGGAGGGGATTATACACAGTGTGTACAGAAAGGGGGATCATTTTAGCATTCTGCCCACCACATTGGGGAGCAGGAGAGTCCCATGTCTGTTAAAATATTGAGAATAGTAAATTTATAATATCCAGGAGAAAATATTTTTCTAGCTCAGTTTGCAAGGACTAACATTTTTTTAATAATTTTAAAATGACATATATTTTCCTTATATGAGATTAAGACATAGCCCCCACTTCAGAAAAAGACAAAAACAACAAAAGCCCCATAGCCAAATGAATTAGGCTTTCTCTGCATTGCGCTGGCTTGTCTGAAGGATTGTTTTTGAGAATGTTTCTTTTTCCAACTGCAGTTAAAATACATAATAGATTTATCCTCCTAGTTCCAAAAAATTTACAACTTAACTCCTAAGTCACATTAGTAATAAAACAACACCTGTATCCCAGCACTTTGGGAGGCTGAGGTGGGTGGATCACTTGAGGCCAGGAGTTTGAAACCAGCCTGGCCAACATAAAGAAACCTTGTCTCTACTAAAAACTAAAAAAAAAATGGCCTGATTAAAAATGAAAGACAATAAAAAATATATTTTGTCCTGAAAAATAGAAACAATAAGGAATATGTGAACGAAATCGATTTCAGTCCTTCCTCCCCTATGCATAATTCATTGATTTTGAACATTAGTCCTGTTTTAGACCAGTGCCTGTATGTGCTGGTGTTTTTTTCTGAGAATAGAAAAGGAGTCTTTTGTTCTTTTGATTTCCCTTTATAAAACTATTGCTAATACTTTGCTGTATGACTGGTATATGATTTTCTTTATGAGTATAGCTGAAGGTGGGTTCTTACTTAGGGAATTTGCTATTTACATTTTATTCCTCGGCTGCTAACTTCTAGTTCTCAACTCTATTGAAGGCAATGGTTAATCGAAAAAAAAAAGAAAAGAATTATTTGTCAGCAAATGCCTGTCACAAATACTCACTCTTCGTAGCCCAATTGTATATGCCTATAAACTGAAGTTTTTATTTATATTTACGAACGTGCTTAATGAAACAATGAAAGTATAAAAAATGCCAATTGTAGGTCTGCAATTTATCTGTATTTGATCTGATAAATTCTGGAGTGTGTACTTCCCATAAACCTTGCTTTAAAATAGTTTTATGTTATTCCAACATCCAAACTCTTAATGTTTTAAGGACTGGCAAGTAGGTCACCCCAGGGGGGTGTGCAGTGGTGAATGAGGACATGTAGGGTCAGTTTTAAAAAGCTGGCAGAGTCAGCTCCTTTTCTCCCCATTTAGCTGATGATAAAACATGGATTTGGATATACCAAGCCAGGGGGGCGGCAGATGTCTCACCGACTCTCTGTAAACACTCTGGTCATATTGACCTATCATCTGTCCATCACTCACCTTTCTCAGCTCAGGCTGTCCACCTGACTCATCATAAGGGGCTCAGCGGCAAAACTGCAAACTTCACTAAGATGCTAACAATGTTTCTTTTTCTCTCAAAAACAGTGAGCTTGTTTCATTTTTGGGATTGTTCCAAGTCCTCCTCACAACCCGGTGTGAAAGAGCATCCACATTCAATTTACTCAGTACAGCATACTGACCTTCAATGTGTTTCTTATAAAAAATAAACTTTAATGAGGGCTCAAGGAGGTATGGGATTGCTTGAAGGCCATCTGCAGTAATAGCTTCGCTTTTTAGGGCCATTTCTTTCTCATCTATGTTACAAGCTCTTAGCTTTTTAAAAATATATGTGCTGATTCTTGGAGGAGATAGTGAAAAAAATCTTGCTCTTAAGAAAAGAGGTTTAAAAATTCAGCGGTTAAAAGAATATATATTTATGTTTTTTGACATGATATGACACTGATTAGTTACTTAGAATCTCACTTATTTAACAATGTTTCTTACTGGTAAATTTTAGTTAAATAAAATTGAAGCAGGAAGATCAGTGTTTAATATGTTCTCCCACTAAATGGAAAGATCATGTATTCTACTATAACTGCCAGTTTGTTTTCCAAAAAGTTAGTAACAACTGAGACTTTTACCAAAGGCATATGAAAATATCTGTTTTTCTACAGCTTATCAATCTTTTACATTTTTGTCAATTTGTAGGCCATAAATGAGAACATTATTTGTCAAGTCTCAAAGATGTGAGGCAACATGGCACATTAATAGAATGTTGAGTTGCAGTTACAACATAAGGAGTATGTGGAGGTGACAGGAGATGAGGTTACATATGGGAAGAAAACAGATGGTTCTGGGTGGTGTGTGGTGTGTGTGCACGTACAATGCTGTGCCAAGGATTGGACCTTATCCTGGGGAAATAGGAAAACCGTGGAAGCATTTTACAGAATAGAGTTGTGTGATTAGATATCATTTTGAAGCTAATTTTAGTAGGTTTTTTTTTTCGGGTTGATTTCAGATTGCAGGCAGGAAACTTTGATCATATTCCAGAGAGGAGATAATGAGGACTGGAATTGAATCAGTACTGTGGGGATGGAGAATAAGGCACAGTTGTTACAGAGCTGAGGTAGACTACACTCATTGCCTTTGGGTGTTTTGTCTAAATAATTTTCAGATTTGGGTGCCCGAGAAACTGAGAAAATGATGATGCTGTTAATATGGAGAAAATACAAGAAGAGATAAGGGTTGAGGGAAAAGATAATAAATTCAATTTTAGACAGGTAAAGTTGGAGGGGGCACAAGGAATACTTCAACCAAGAGGCCTAGAAGATAGGAGAATTGGGTATGGAACTCAGGAAAGAGCTCTTTCTAAAGATGTGAATTTAGGATATGGTCACATGTAGGCAGTAGTAAATGCCATCTTCTGGATGAGATCAATGGGAGAATATAGCTACTGAGAAGAAAATATGACAGAGATTGGAACTCTGAGGGGTATAACATTCAAGGGACAGATAGAAGAAAAATAGTCCACATAATGAGTGCTTAGAAAATTACTCATTTGAAAGATGACAGTGGAGATTATATGAAAAAGTTGGTACTGTAATGTTATACATAATATATATATATATATATATATATATATATACACACACACATACATACATATATATGTGTATAGTAAGTATTGGCTTCCTTCTAGATTCTGGACCCACCCATTTATTAGTTTATTCTCATACCAAAATCCTGAATGATTACAGTGCCAGTTAACATGACATTCTTGTTAGAACCAGAGTTACAAATCAGTCGCTTCCAAGATGGCCAAATAGGAACAGCTCCGGTCTGCAGCTCCCAGTGAGATTGACTCAGAAGATGGGTGATTTCTGCATTTCCAACTGAGGTACCTGGTTCATCTCATTTGGACTTGTTGGACAGTAGGTGCAGCCCATGGAGGGTGAGCTGAAGCAGGGCAGGGTGCTGCCTCACCTGGGAAGCACAGGGGGTCGGGGGATTTCCCTTTCCTAGCCAAGGGAAGCCATGACAGACTGTACCTGGAGAAACGGTACACTTCTGACCAAATACTGCACTTTTCCCACAGTCTTAGCAACCGGCAGACCAGGAGATACCCTCCTAAGCCTGGCTCAGCAGGTCCCACATGCATGGAGCCTTGCTCACTGCTAGTGCTGCAATCTGAGATCAACCTGCGATGCTGCACCTTGACGGGGGGAGAGGCATCCACCATTGCTGACACTTGAGTAGCTCACAGTGTAAACAAAGTGGCCGGGAAGCTCAAACTGGGCAGAGCCCACTGCAGCTCAGCAAGGCCTACTGCCTCTATAGATTCCACCTCTGAGGGCAAGGCATAGCAGAACAAAAGACAGCAGACAGCTTCTGCAGACTTAAACGTCCCTGTCTGATAGCACTGAAGAGAGCAGTGGTTCTCTCAGCACAGTGTCCGAGCTCTGAGAATGGACAGATTACCTCCTCAAGGGGGTCGCTGACCCCCATGTAGCCTGACTGGGAGACATTTCCCAGTAGGGGCCGACAGACGCCTCATACAGGCGGGTGTCCCTCTGGGATGAAGCTTCCAGAGGAAGGATCAGGCAGCAATATTTGCTGTTCTGTAGCCTCTGCTGGTGATACCCAGGCAAACAGTATCTGGAGTGGACCTCCAGCAAACTCCAACAGGCCTGCAGCTGAGGGGCCTGACTGTTAGAAGGCAAACTAACAAACAGAAAGGAATAACATCAACATAAACAAAAAGGACATCCACACCAAAACCCCATCCGTAGGTCGCCAACATCTAAGACCAAAGGTACATAAAACCACAAAGATGGGGAAAAACCAGAGCAAAAAAGCTGAAAATTCCCAAAACCAGAGCACCTCTTCTCCTCCAAAGGATCGCAGCTCCTTTCCAGCAATGGAACAAAACTGGATGGAGAATGAATTTGATGAGTTGACAGAAGTAGGCTTCAGAAGGTCGGTAATAATGAACTTCTTCGAGCTAAAGGAGCATGTTCTAACCCATTGCAAGGAAGCTAAATACCTTGAAAAAAGGTTAGACAAATGGCTAACTAGAATAAACAATGTAGAGAAGACCTTAAATGAGCTGATGGAGCTGAAAACCACAGCATGAGAACTTCATGACGCATGCACAAGTTTCAATAGCCGATTCGATCAAGTGGAAGAAAGGATATCAGTGATTGAAGATCAAATTAATGAAATAAAGTGAGAAGACAAGATTAGAGAAAAAAGATGGAAAGAAATGAACAAAGACTTCAAGAAATATGGGACTATGTGAAAAGACCAAATATACGTTTGATTGGTGTACCAGAAAGTGATGGGGAGAATAGAATCAAGTTAGAAAACTCTTCAGGATATTATCCAGGAGAACTTCCCTAACCTGGCAAGGCAGGCCAACATTCAAATTCAGGAAATACAGAGAACACCATAAAGATACTCCTCGAGAAGAGCAACCCCAAGACACATAATTATCAGATTCACCAAGGTTAAAATGAAGGAAAAAAATGTTAAGGGCAGCCAGAGAGAAAGGTCGGGTTACCCACAAAGGGAAGCCCATCAGATAACAGCAGATCTCTCAGCAGAAACCCACAAGCCAGAAGAGAGTGGGGGCCAATATTCAACATTCTTAAAGAAAAGAATTTTCAACCCAGAATCTAATATTCAGCCAAACTAAGCTTCATAAGTGAAGGATAAATAAAATCCTTTACAGACAAGCAAATGCTGAGAGATTTAGTCACCACCAGGCCTTCCTTACAAGAGCTCCTGAAGAAAGCACTAAACATGGAAAGGAACAACTGGTACCAGCCACTGAAAAAACATGCCAAATTGTAAAGACCATTGATGTTATGAAGAAACTGCATCAATTAATGGGCAAAATAACCAGCTAATATCATAATGACAGAATCAAACTCAAACATAACAATATTAACCTTAAATGTAAATGGGCTAAATGCCATAATTAAAAGACACAGGTTGGAAAATTGGGTAAAGAGTCAAGACCCATCACTGTGCTGTATTCAGGAGACCAATCTCATGTGCAAAGACACACATAGGCTCAAAATGAATAGATGGAGGAAGATCTACCAAGCAAATGGAAAGCAAAAAAAAAGCAGGGGTGGCAATCCTAGTCTCTGATAAAACAGACTTTAAACCAAAAAAGATCAAAAGAGACAAAGAAGGCCACTGCATAATGGTAAAGGAATCAATTCAATAAGAAGAGCTAACTATCCTAAATATATATGCACCCAATACAGGAGCACCCAGATTCATAAAGCAAGTCCTTAGAGACCTACAAAGAGACTTGGACTCCCACACAATAATAATAGGAGACTTTAACACCACACTGTCAATATTAGACAGATCAATGAGACAGAAAATTAACAAGGATATCCAGGAATTGAACTCAGCTCTGGACCAAGCAGACCTAATAGACATCTGCAAAACTCTCCACCCCAAGTCAAGAGAATATACATTCTTCTCAGCACCACATTGTACTTATTCTAAAATTGACTACATAATTGGAAGTAAAACACTCTTCAGCAAATGTAAAATAACATAAATCATAACAAACAGTCTCTCAGACCAAAATGCAATCAAATTAGAACTCAGGATTAATAAACTTTCTTAAAACCACACAACTACATGGAAACTGAACAACCTTCTCCTGAATGACTACTGGGTAAACAACAAAATGAAGGCAGAAATAAGCATGGTCTTTGAAACCAATGAGAACGAAGACACATTGTAGCATAATCTCTGGGACACATTTAAAGCAGTGTACAGAGGGAAATTTATAGCACTGAATGCCCACTAGAGAAATCAGGAAAGATCTAAAATCAACACCCTCACATCACAATTGAAAGAACTAGAGAAGCAAGAGCAAACAAATTCAAAAGCTAGCAGGAGGCAAGAAATAACTAAGATCAGAGCAGAATTGAAGGAGGTAGAGACACAAAAAAACCCTTCAAAAAATCAATGAATCCAGGAGCTGATTTTTTGAAAAGATCAACAAAATTGATAGATGGCTAGCAAGACTAATAAAGAAGAAAAGAGAGAAGAATCAAATAGACGCAATAAAAAATGATATAGGGGATATTACCACTGATACCAAAGAAATACAAACTACCATCAGAGAATACTATAAACACCTCTATGCAAATAAACTAGAAAATCTAGAAGAAATGGATAAATTCCTGGACACATACATCCTCCCAAGACTAAACCAAGAAGAAGTTGAATGTCTGAATAGACCATTAATAAGTTCTGAAATTGGTGCAATAATTAATAGCCTACCAACCAAAAAAAGTCCAGGACCAGAAGGATTCACAGCCGAATTCTACCAGAGGTACAAAGAGGAGCTGGTACCATTGCTTCTGAAAGTATTCCAATTAATAGAAAAAGAGGGCATCCTCCCTAACTCCTTTTATGAGGCCAGCATCATCCTGATGTGTCTGGAATTGGTGGGTTCTTGGTCTCCCTGACTTCAAGAATGAAGCCACGGACACTCACAGTGAGTGTTACAGTTCTTAAAGATGGTGTGTCTGGAGTTTGTTCCTTCAGATATTCAGATGTGTCTGGAGTTTCTTCCTTCTGGTGGGTTTGTGGTCTCACTGACTTCAGGAGTGAAGCTGTAGACCTTCATGGTGAGTGTTACAGCTCTTAAAGGTGGCGCGTCCAGAGTTCTTCATTCCTTCCATTGGGTTCGTGGTCTCACTGGCTTCAGGAGTGAAGCTGCAGACCTTCATGGTGAGTGTTACAGCTCATAAAGGTGGTGCAGACCCAAAGAGTGAGCAGCAGCAAGATTTATTGCAAAGAGCGAAAGAACAAAGCTTCCACAGCATGGAAGGGGACCCGAGCGGGTTGCCGGGGCTGGCTTGGGCAGCCTGCTTTTATTCCCTTATCTGACCCCACCCACATCCTGCTGATTGGCCCATTTTACAGAGAGCTGATTGGTGCATTTACAATCCCTGAGCTAGACGCAGAGTGCTGATTGGTGCGTTTAAAACCTTGAGCTAGACACAGAGTGCTGATTGGTGTGTTTACAGACCTTGAGCTAGACATCAAAGTTCTCCAAGTCCCCACTAGATTAGCTAGACACAGAGCACTGATTGGTGCATTTACAAACCTTGAGCTAGACATAGGGTGCTGATTGGTGTGTTTATAAACCTTGAGCTAGACACTGTGCTGATTGGTGTATTTACAATCCTTTAGCTAGACATAAAGGTTCTCCAAGTTCCCACCAGATTAGCTAGATACAGAGTGCTGATTGGTGCATCCACGAACCCTGAACTAGACACAGAGTGCTGATTGGTGCATATACAATCCTCTGGCTAGATATAAAAGTTCTCCAAGTCCCCACCCAACTCAGGAGCTCAGCTGGCTTCACCTAGTGGATCCCACGCCAGGGCCGTGGGCAGAGCTTCCTGCCAGTCCCGCGCCATGTGCCTGCACTCCTGTGCCGTTGGGTGGTCGATGGGACTGGGCACCGCAGAGCAGGGGGTGGCACCTGTCAGGGAGGCTCGGGCTGCACAAGAGCCTACCGTTGGGGGGGCTTGGGCATGGCAGGCTGCACTGATACCAAAGCCTGGCAGAGACACAACAAAAAAAGAAAATTTTAAGCCAATATCCCTGATGAACATCGATGCGAAAATCCTCAATAAAATACTGGCAAACCAAATCCAGCATCACATCAAAAAACTTATCCACCACGATCAAGTCAGCTTCATCCTTCGGATGCAAGGCTGGTTCAACATATGCAAATCAATATACGTAATCCATCACATAAACAGAATCAATGACAAAAACCACATGATTATGTCAATAGATGCAGAAAACACCTTCGACAAAATTCAACAGCCCTTAATGCTAAAAACTCTCAGTAAACTAGGTATTTTGATGGAATGTATCTGAAAATAATAAGAGCTATTTATGACAAACCCACAGCCAATGTCATACTGAATGGACAAAAACCGGAAGCATTCCCTTTGAAAACCCGCACAAGACAAGGATGACCTCTCTCACCACTTCTATTCAACATAGTGTTGGAAGTCCAGGGCAATCAGGCAAGAGAAAGAAATAAAGCATATTAAATTAGGAATAGAAGAAGTCAAATTGTCTCTGTTTGCAGATGACATGATTGTATATTTAGAAAATCCCATTGTCTCAGCCCAAAATCTCCTTAAACTGATAAGCAACTTCGGCAAAGTCTCAGGATACAAAATCAATGTGCAAAAATCACAAGCATTCCTATAAACCAATAATAGACAAACAGAGAGCCAATTCATGAGTGAACTTCCATTCACAATTACTACAAAGAGAATAAAATACCTAGGAATCCAACTTACAAGGGATGTGACGGACCTCTTTAAGCAAAACTACAAACCACTGCTTAATGAAATAAAAGAGGACACAAACAAATGGATTAACATTCCATGCTCATGGATAGGAAGAATCAATATCGTGAAAATGGCCATACTGCTCAAGGTAATTTATAGATTCAATGCTATCCCCATCAAGCTACCACTGATTTTCTTCACAGAATTGGAAAAAACTACTTTAAAGTTCACATGGAACCAAAGAAGAGCCCAAATTGCCAAGACAATCCTAAGCAAAAAGAACAAAGCTGGAGGCATCACACTACCTGACTTCAAACTATACTACAAGGCTACAGTAACCAAAACAGCATGGTACTCATACTAAAACAGATACACAGAGGCCTCAGAAATAACACCACACATCTATAGCCATCTGATCTTTGACAAACCTGACAAAAGCAATAGGGAAAGGATTTCCTATTTAATAAATGGTGCTGGGAAAACTGCCTTGCTATATGTAGAAAGCTGAAACTGGATTCCTTCCTTACATCATATATAAAAATTAACTTGAGATGGATTAAAGACTTAAATGTAAGACTTAAAACTATAAAAACCCTAGAAGAAAACCTAGGCAATACCATTCAGGTCACAGGCATGGGCAAAGACTTCATGACTAAAACACCAAAAGCAATGGCAACAAAAACCAAAATCGACAAATGGGATCTAATTAAAGTAAAGATCTTCTGCACAGCAAAAGAAACTATCATCACAGTGAAAGGGCAACCTACGGGAAGGGAGAAAATTTTTACAATCTATCCATCTGAAAAAGGGCTAATATCCAGAATCTAAAAGGAACCTAAACAAATTTACAAGAAACAAACAACCCCATCAAAAAGTAGGCAAAGGATATGAACAGACACTTCTCAAAAGAAGACATTTATGTAGCCAACAGGCATAAAAAAAAATGCTCATCATCACTGGTCATCAGAGAAATGCAAATCAACATCACAGTGTGATACCATCTCATGCCAGTTAGAATGGCGATCATTAAAAGTCAGGAAAGAACAGATGCTGGAGAGGATGTAGAGAAATAGGAATGTTTTTATACTGTTTGTGGGAGTGTAAATTAGTTCAACCATTGTGGAAGACAGTGTGGCGGTTCCTCAAGGATCTAGAACTAGGAATGCCATTTGACCCAGTAATCCCATTACTGGGTATATACTCAAAGGATTATAAATCATTCTACTATAAAGACACATGCACATGCACACGTATGTTTATTGCGGCACAATTCACAATAGCAAACACTTGGAACCAACCCAAATGTCCATCAATGATAGACTGGATTAAGAAAATGTGGCACATATACACCATGGAATACTATGCAGCCATAAAAAGGATGAGTTAATATCCTTTGCAGGGACACGGATGAAGCTGGAAACCCTCTTTCTAAGCAAACTATCACAAGGATAGAAAACCAAACACCGCATGTTCTCACTCATAGGTTGGAGTTGAACAATGAGAACACATGGACACAGGGTGGGGAACATTACATATCAGGGCCTGTTGGGGTGTGGGGGGCTGGGGGAGGGATAGCATTAGGAGAAATACCTAATGTAAATGACGAGTTGATGGGTGCAGCAAACCAACATGGCACATGAATACTTATGTAACAAACCCACACATTGTGCACATGTACCCTAGAACTTAAAGTGTATATCTATATATAAAAAAAGAACTTAAGTTACAAATCATAATTCATGATTAGGTCATTATGAGTCATTAAATAGCAAAAGCAAAGCATTGTTATATGCAGAAAGTGCCTTCACTCCATGGTAAGATCCTTGCCAAAATTGAGACAGTGCTGTTGCAGGGCCCCATTTCCTTAGCATACACTGTGAATGATTCCCCCCACCACCAACTGCCTGGATTGGTGTGACACTGAGGCCTTGCTGGCTGCTGTCAATCTTTTTGTTCACCTTTCATGAGGAGGCTGGGGTAAATAATGGGAAGCCTGCATATGGACAGGAAAGGGTTTTCAGGACAGGACAGCAGCAAAAATCATCTAAAGGGCATGCTTTTCTGATAGTGTTCCCATGTCCTAAGGATGGCAGCATAGTCAAACTATTTAGGCAGTCAAGGAAAAAGTGGTTCAGGGAAGAGTTGAATTAGCCTGGTGAAGCTAGGGCTAATTTTTCATGAAGAGCTACATATATGTTTCCATGGAGGTTGGGTGGCTTGGAGAATGCCTTTTAAGCTTAAGCTCTTTTTTCAAAAAATTATTATTTTCTCGAGATGAAGTCCCACTTTGTCGCCCAGGCTGGAGTGCAGTGGTGCATTCTCAGCTCACTGCAACCTCCACTTCCCAGGTTTAAGTGATTCTCCTGCCTCAGCCTCTGGAGTAACTAGGACTACTGGCGTGCACCACCATGCCTGGCTAATTTTTTTGTATTTTTAGTAGAGACAGGGTTTCAACATGTTGGCCAGGCTGGTCTCGAATTCTTGACCTCTGGTAATCCCCCTGCCTCGGCCTCCCAAAGTGCTAGTGAGAGGTGATGGTGTGCTGGCAGCCCTTGCAGCCCTCGCTCACTCTTGGCACCTCCTCGGCCTCGGCGCCCACTCTAGCCGTGCTTGAGGAGCTCTTCAGCCCACTCTTGCACTGTGGGAGCCCTTCTCTGGGCTGGTTGAGGCCGGAGCCAGCTCCCTCTGCTTGCTGGGAGGTGTGGAGGGAGAGGTGCGGGTGGGAACCGGGGCTGCGCTTGGTGCTTGTAGGCCAGTGCCAGTTCCTGGTGGGCGTGGGCTTGGCAGGCCCCGCACTCAGAGCAGCCAGCCAGTGCCACCGACCCCGGGCAGTGAGGGGCTTAGCACCCAGGCCAGCAGCTGCAGAGGGTGTGCCAGGTCCCCCAGCAGTGCCGGCCCACCGGCACTGCACTCGAATTCTCGCTGGGCCTCAGCTGCCTCCCTGCAGGGCAGGGCTTGGTACCTGCAGCCTGCCATGCCTGAGCCTCCCCTGCACCGTGGCTCCTGCACGGCCCAAGGCTCCCCGACGAGCACTGCCCCCTGCTCCGTGGTGCCCAGTCCCATCGACTGCCCAAGGGCTGAGGAGTGTGGGTGCATGGTGTGGGACTAGTGGGCAGCTCTGCCTGTGGCCCTGGTGCAGGATCCTCTAGGTGAAGCCAGCTGGGCTCCTGAGTCTAGTGGGGACTTGGAGAACCTTTATGTTTAGCTAAGGGATTGTAAATACACCAATCAGCACTCTGTGTCTAGCTCAAGGTTTGTAAATACACCAATCAGCACCCTGTGTCTAGCTCAAGGTTTGTAAATGCACCAATCAGTGCTCTGTGTCTAGCTAATCTAGTGGGGACTTGGAGAACCTTTATGTCTAGCTAAGGGATTGTAAATACACCAACCAGCACTCTGTGTCTAGCTCAAGGTTTGTAAATGCACCAATCAGCACTCTGTATCTAGCTAATCTAGTGGGGACTTGGAGAACCTTTATGTCTAGCTAAAGGATTGTAAATACACCAATCAGCACTCTGTGTCTAGCTCAAGGTTTATAAACACACCAATCAGCACCCTGTGTCCAGCTCAAGGTTTGTAAATGCACCAATCAGTGCTCTGTGTCTAGCTAATCTAATGGGGACTTAGAGAACTTTTGTGTCCAGCTCAGGGATTGTAAATGCACCAATCAGCACCCTGTCAAAACGAACCAATCAGCTCTCTGTAAAACAGACCAGTCAGCTCTCTGTAAAATGGACCAATCAGCAGGATGTGGGTGGGGCCAGATAAGGGAATAAAAGCAGGCTGCCCAAGCCAGCAGTGGCAACCAGGTCTGGTCACCTTCCACAGTGTGGAAGCTTTGTTCTTTTGCTCTTTGCAATTAAATCTTGCTGCTGCTCACTCTTTTGGGTTTGCACTGCCTTTATGAGCTGTAACACTCACTGTGAAGGTCTGCAGCTTCACTCCTGACCCAGCGAGACCACGAACCCACCAGAAGGAAGAAACTCTGAACACATCCGAACATCAGAAGGAAAAAACTCCCGACACACCATCTTTAAGAACTGTTAACACTCACCGCGAGGGTCCACGGATTCATTCTTTGTCAGTGAGACCAAGAACCCACCAATTCCGGACACACTAGGCTTAGAGGTGTGAGCCACTGCACCCGGCCCTTTTAAGCTCTTTCTTGAGAAATTTATTACAATTTCTATTTGGTGGAAGAAAACACTTTCTGTTCCAGGATTTTCACTGTACTATAGCTAGTGAAAAACATGCCTGCTTCTGGCCGGTTGCGGTGGCTCACGCCTGTAATCCCAGCACTGTGGGAGGCTGAGGTGGGTGGATCACGAGGTCAGGAGAGCGAGACCATCCTGGCTAACACGGTGAAACCCTGTCTCTACTAAAAATACAAAAAAAAAAAAAAAAAATTAGCCAGGCGTGGTGGCGGGCTCCTGTATTTCCAGCTACTTGGAAGGCTGCGTCAGGAGAATGGCATGATCCCAGGAGGCGGAGCTTGCAGCGAGCCGAGATCGCACCACTGCACTCCAGCCTGGGTGACAGAGTGAGACTCCATCTCAAAAAATAAAAATAAAAACAAAAAACCATCCCTGCTTCTTTTTCTATTGTGAGCTCATTAAGGGCAGGGAGTGTGTCTTGTGTTTTCCATGCTTAGCTAGTTGTGTGGTGCTCAACAGATGCTACAGAAATAAATCCCTGCATGTCACAGAAGCTAAACTCCATTCTTAGAAAGACATACTGCAACTAGACTTAAATATTCAATTTTCTCTACATTTGCTTATACAAACAGTAGTTTGGGGATTTGAGTGATATACGCATAATTGATGTGTTAATTGATGTGTTAGTATACATATAGGGATCTTCAAACAATTACAATATAATATTTCTTGTTCAAAATTATGCAATATGTTGTCTGAAAGAAAAGCCAATTGGGGTCTAATTGCTTTTTTAGGCAGTAAATTACCTCAAAATCATAAATTGAATAAAAATCTTCAGAATTTAGATAAATTTTTACGATTATTCTATTGGGTTTAATAATTGATCAATATGATGAAAGAATTACCACACCAACTAAAAGTTTCTCCTATGAAATGTTTTCTATAACCTTAATAAAAAGAAGAAAAGAAAAAGGAAAAAACCAACAAAGTCTGAGGATAATCAGAATAAATGCTGAGGAAATATCTATTTCTGGTTCTGCCACTAAATTATTTTGTTTTTTAAAAACCTTTTTAGTCTTTAGATTGTATGAGATCCAAAGCCATAACAGTGTCAAACATATTCTTAGAACCTGAATCCTAGACCTTAAGGCAACATTAAAATTCTATGCTTTTAAAGTTGAACATTCCTAAGAAGTTGGCAGAGGTCATTAATTATTTCTAAGGATCTTGAGGTATATTGAAAAAAGAGATTTAAAGAATATTACTGTGGGCCAGGCATGGTGGCTCACACCTGTAATCCCAACACTTTGGGAGGCTGAGGCGGGCGGATCATGAGGTCAGGAGTTCAAAACCAACCTGGCCAATATGGTGAAATTCCATCTCTACTGAAAATACAAAAATTAGCTGGGCGTGGTGGCATGCACCTGTAGTCCAGCTACTTGGGAGGCTGAGGCAGAATTGCGTGAACCTGGGAGGCGGAGGTTGCGGTGAGCCAAAATCATGCCACTGCACTCCAGCCTGGACAACATAGCGAGACTCAGTCTCAAATAAAAGAAAATACTACTGTGGTATATTGATTTTAAAAATGGCCTCAGTGTTCTACCCCTCCTTGTAGCCAACCTTTTGTAATATGACCTCAAAGAGTAGAGTCTATTTCCTCATGCCTTGAATCTGGACTGGCCTTGTGACTTTGGTCAATTTCATGTTTTGATAGTATGCCATCTCTGAGCCTAGACCTCAAGAATAATTGTCCTCTTCTGTCTCTTTTGCAGTATTGCTACCATAGGTTGGTCTAGTGGAGTGGGAGAGACCAGTTGTCCCAAGTAAGATTATCTTAGGCCAGCCTATCTCCATCTGACTTGCCAGTAGCCACATAGTTGAGCTCCACTGAACCCAGCTCAAAGCAGCAAAATTAGTCAACCCATAAGACTACTGAGCACAAATGTTTATTGTTGTACGCTACTATGCTAGTGAGATTTTGTGGTTGTTATTTTTATTTTACAGATAGTAATATTTTTGTAAATACAAATCAGAATAACAATTATAATAGTGTATTTCTTTTATGCTTTTGGGGGACCTTGGGCAACCTAACAGAATAACATGAAGCGGAGCCCAACAGTTCGCTTTCTAAATGTACATTGTGTGTCTCTGGCTATTCTGGCATCTAAGTGACTGAATATATTGAATATTTGCTTTGAAATAAAAATTATAATGACCATTGTTCAATATTCTTGAAAAAATTGCAAGCTAATCTATGCAATTAATTTTAAGGAAACTCCATTTATTGTAAAAATCTGAATACATACATTCTAAATTTGAGGTTGCAAACTGACATGCCTGTGGAAGTTTGGCATGCAATATAATTGAGACACTCATGTTTGGTATAAAATACTAGGCAGTAGGGGGGAATTGGCAGAGTGAAGGACACGTTTCCAATCCAAAGGAATTAAATTCAAATTTTTAAGAACATTGTGCAGGCCAAACAACACATATATGAGGATCAGCTCAATCCATGGGTTGCCAGTTTACAACCTCTATTTCAAAATTTTGATTTCTGACCTATGTTCAAGCATTACCTCACATTTTATCTTTGTCAGGTTTGGGGCTGAATTTTGCAATTAGAAGAGACTGAAAGAAGACTGAGATGTTGTATGTTATTTGCCTCCTCCATCTGCCTTCAAGTACTACTCAGTATATATTAGATTGGTTCCAGCGTCTTTCCGTTTTATTTCCTGTCCAGGTGTAATGAGACAGAATTTACTCTTCTAGAAAAGTAAAATATTCCCATTCCGGAAGACCTGTCTGTGCGATAGTATTTGGAAACAATGATTGTAACTGTGGTATACACACCTCCCCTTTGGTGTAAAGGAGAGGTTCACCAAGGCACCAACCTGGCACCAACTTGCAGTGCTTTATCACCAGCTGTCACAGCCCACCTTGAAATGAGTCTTATAAGTAGGCTGAAAGCATTGGCTTTTCAAGATTTTAACACACACACACACAGTTTCAGGGTAGCTGCAGGACATATTTCTCCCTGAATATTAGGAGAGGTAAAACCAAACATCCATTCAAATGGCCTTTTGAGCATGGTTCAGAGATTCAGGCAGAGTGAATACCCAGCCAATTTAAAGTGAACTCATTAATAATATATTTCAGTCTCTACCAGCATTTTATTCTCTCTATTCCCCACTTTATCTCCTGTATACATATATGCATGTACATGCACATCATAACTCTGACAGTAAGAGAGGTTTATGGAAAGAACATATATAAAAATTACTACATTCTATATGAAACAGTTTTAGAGATCTAAAGAGGAAAGATGAAGAAAATACTGAAGAAGAAAATTATCTTGCAGTTTAACTATATAGTACTAGTAATTGTAGAATAAACTGAAGAGAGGAGCAGTGGTAGCCATAACACTTACTGATTTAAGTAAAGAACATGAATGGGTGCTTGTTTTCAAAAGCTCCCATGGCTTCTCGTAATTTGCAGAGAAAAGCTGTTAACAGAGTGTAATAGCCACTCAGCAAATACTTGTTAAATGACTGACATGGTTGAAAATCTGTCACAAAATTTAGATATGGCTTCTTTAAATTTTATCAACCCCATTAGGAGGAACATTCTTACTCTTTGCATTAGCGATACATATATAGAATAAAATGTTCTCCACAACTAAGTGTATTACTTATGATTTTTTAGTTGTATTTATTTATCTCTTCCTGGAAAGCACCTTTCAAATCTCCTGGCTGATTATGATCATTTTATTCATTCAGTCATTCATTATTCACTCAAACAATAGTAATTGAGTATTTTAGGCATAATCCTGGGCACTTGGATATAGTTATAATCAAGGGAGTCATGTTCTTGTTATCATGTAACTTATATTCTAGTTGGGAAAGGCAGACAATTTTTTAAATAAAATCATTAATAAATACACAAGTAATTAAACAGGATAATTTCGGGTTGTGATAAATGCTCTAAAGGAAATAAGATAATATGAAGGAAAGTAAAGGAATGAGGATGAGGATGAATTTGGTTATCCATGGTAAAATAAGTCCTCTCTGAACACAGTAGTATTTTTATAGTCATCTAATGCTTAAGAATAAGCCATCTTCCATCAATAAAAACTCAAAAAAAAAAAAAAAAAACCAAACCCACAGATGCTGGAGAGGTTGCCGAGAAAAGGGAATGCTTATTCACTGTTGGTGGGAATGTAAATTAGCTCAGCCACTGTAGAAAGCAGTTTGCAGATTTCTCAAAGAACTTAAAATATAGCTACCATTCAACCCAGCAATCCAATTAGTGTGTATGGATCCAAAAGAAAATAAATTATTCTGCAAGAAAGACACATATACCTGTATGTTCATCATAGTAGTATTCACAACAGCAAATTCTTGGACTCAACCTAGATGTCCGTAAATGGTGAACTGGATAAAGAAAATGTGGTAGATATATACCATAGAATACTACACTGTCATAAAAAGAATGTAATCATGTCTTTTGCAGCAAAATGGATGCAGCTGGAGGCCATTGTCCTAAGTGAATTAACAAAGGAACAGAAAACCAAATAACACATGTTCTCACTTATAAGTGGGAGCTAAATATTGGGTACACATGGTCATAAAGACAGCAACAACAGACACTGGGGACTACTAGAGGGGGAAGGGAGAGAGAGAGGGAGACAAAAGTTGAAAAACTATTGAGTACTGTGCTCACTACCTGAGTGACAGGATCAGTAATACTCTAAACCTAGCATCATGCAATATACACATGTAACAAACCTGCAGATGTGCTCTCTGAATCTAAAATAAAAGTTAAAATTAATAAAAAATAAAAAACAATAAATCATCCTGAGAGCAATTTTTAATAATGGCAGACTAGTTTGTTTCTGACCAACTCTGCCATGGAAGCAATTATAAAATTAGAATAAATATTAAAAATACATTTGATAACACCAGAGAAATATCAAGATAGTGAGGATATATAAAAAAAAAACACACACACACTGAAATGATCCAATATTTGGTACCAGTTTTCCCCTTGAGACATTTACTGATTCAAAAGGGGAAGCTGAGAAACTGAAGTTAAAACCTTGGCTTAGAGGATAGGAGGGTAAGCAAAGACTTCAGCAATCTCTAGGCACTGGGAGATAAAAATCAGAGTTTGGGGCTCTCTAAGGAGAAAGGATTTTGGTAAATACCTGAAATTTTCAGTTGGGACTCCTAAGGACTGAGCTCTAGGAGTAAGGTTATGCTAGTAATAAACCATCCCTCGAAATGTTAGAGGCTTAGTTTTGAATTAGCTCAATCCCTGATTAGATATGGTGATCACTTCCTGCCTAGCCTAGTTGCCTGCCAAGAGCAATTGTAAATCCTCTCTGATAGAAAAGAACATCATTCAGAGCTCTCAAAATATTTGGCACCCAGTGTAAACAAATTAGATGTATAAAAAGATAAGAATTGAATGAGAGTTAAAATAAAACCTAGACCAATAGAACATACAGAAGATTCAAATATTAGATTGATGGCAATTTTAAACTTGGAATTTAAAGTAAAATAATTAGTATGTTTTATAAGTTAAACATGAAGGTGAAGATTTTGGTAAAGAAGTGGAAATTACACAAAAAGAATAAATAGAATTTCTAGAACTGAAAAGACTATAACTGAAATTAAGAATTCAATGAATTATTAGATTAATCACAGCTGAGGAGAGAATTAGTGACCTGGAAAATAGGTCAAGAGAAAATATCCAGGCTGAAACACAGAAAAGTAAAAGAATGGAAAACACAGAAGAGAATATGTATGATATATGGATTCAACAGGTGTATAATTGGAGTCTCAGAATGAGTGAAGAAAGACAATAGGTGGCAGAAACTACATTTGAAGAGATAATGGTTAAGAAAGACTTTGAAGCACATCCAGAAAGCTTCTACCAACCCCAAACAGGATGACTAGTTAAAAAAAAAAACATAGGCACAGCATAATTAAACTACAGAGAAAGACAAAAAGGCAATGTTATAAACAGAGGAAAAAGGTATATTATCTTCAAAAGAACAACAATTAGGCTAACATTGTAATAGCCTCTTTAAAGTGCCAAAAGAAAACAACATCCAACCCATAATTTTATATTCAGCAAAAATATCCTTCAAAAATTTAGGTAAAATTAAGACTTTTTAAACAAAAAGTGGAAAAAAAAGTCTCTAGCAAATTCAAATGAAAGAAATACTATGAGAATTATTTAAGCAATGGAAATAATCACAGATGGAAGCATGAAGCTACAGAAAAGTATAAAGAACATTGGAGAGGGAAAATACATGAGTAAACGGATATTGATATGACAAAATATTGCTTTTGACAACACATATATGTACACACATATGTGTATAATCACACTATACAATAACAAGTGTACAATTACAATGTGTGTACCAAAAATCTGTTCCAGTTGCGATGGCTGCATAATGAATTACCCTAAAACTTAGTGGCTTAAAATGATTACATTTATTTTGCTCAAAATTTGGACAGGTGTTGGCAGAGATAGCTTATTTCTGCTTAAATTGGCATCAGCTGGAGTGGCTCAAAGGCTGAGGACTAGAAAAATCTGAAGGCTTGTTCACTTGTCTAGCGGTTAACACTGGCTGTTGGCTGAGACCAACATGTTGCACCTGACTTCTAAGAGAAACTGCCAGACAGACAGAGAGGTAGGGAGGAGGGAGAGAGAGAGGAAGAAAATGAGCCAGCTGTTTGAAGATTTTTCTAGGCAAAAAAACAGCAAGTACAAGTGTCCTGAGGTAGGAATTGTGCAATGTGTTCAAAAGATAGAAATAGAAAGAAAGGCAAGTGAGGCTGAATGAGGGACCCATTGGTATTAGATAATGTTAGAGATAGGCAGGTGAGAAAGGTAGAAGTGTATCATGTTTCAATCAGTGAAATACTATTGTAGAAGATACTATATAATGTGCTGGCTTGAACATCTCTGTATACATAAGCATTTCCAACATAAGGATCCCCAGCAAAGGTAGATAATGTATCGCATTTAGGAATACTCTGTGAACCTACTGTAGAAAATGATCATTAAAATTTGTCATCATGGACATTTTGATTTCTATAATTTTAAAATAGCTTTATGTTTAAGAATAAAGATGTTTTATGGGTACACTATATTGGATAAATGTCTGCTATGGTCTAAATGTTTCCCCCAAAATAATGTGTTAAAAACTGAATCCCTAATGCAACTATATAGGGAGGTAGGGCTTTTGGGAGGTATTTAGGTGATGAGGGCTTTGTCCTCATGAATGGATTAATGCCACTATAAAAAGGGCTTGCAAGAGTGAGTTCACCCTCTCTTGCCCTTCTGCCTTCTGCCATGTGAGAACACAGCAAGAAGGCCCACAGCAGATGCTGGCACCTTAATCTTGGACTTCCTAGCCTCCAGAAGTGTGAGGAAATAAATTTCTGTTCTTTATAAATTACCCAGTCTGTGGTATCATGTTATAGCAGCACAAAATAAACTAAGACAATACCCTAGTCCTTAATTTTACTAATGGCATATAACGTCACATATCAAACACATTTTACAGTCATCACTGAAATTTCAGTAAGTGAGATCTTATTGGGCATGATATGTGGAGGATTCAAAAATAACCTGATCTGCATACAAACCATGGGAGATTACTGAAAATTTGCTCAACATGGGAGATTACTGAAAACTTTTTCACCATGGGAGATTGCTCAAAACTTGCTATTTTTTTCCAAAAAATTTTTTTAGAGACAGAGTCTTGCTCTGTCACCCAGATTGGAGTGCAGTTTTATAATCATAGCTCATTGCGGCCTTGAACTCCTGGACTCAAGCAGTCCTCCCACCTCAGCCTCCTAAGTAGCTGGGACTACAGGTACACTTTCCCATGCCTGGATAATTTATTTTTAGTTTTTGTAGATATGGGGTCTCCTTATATTGTCCAGGCTGATCTCAAACTCCTAGCCTCAAGCGATCCTCCTGCCTTGACCTCCCAAAGTACTAGGATTATAGGCATAAGCCACCACATCCAACCTGAAAACTTGCTATTAGTATCATTTGCCACTTTTTTTTTTAATATATAATTCTGACTAAATAATAGCTAATCAAATGGTACTGGAGATAACTTCCCTTCCTTTCCACTCTCCTTCACCCTCATCTGACTGTTTATGCAGGCTAAATCACACAGAGATAAGATCATACTCTATTCAACAAAGACTTGTAATATCAGGTTGGAACAAAAGAAAACATTTGGAACTAAAAGAAGAAAGTATTTTTTTCCTTTCATAGGGCCTAACTCTGTAGCTTTTAATTGGATTACTAAAAGCAGAGACAAAGGCCCTTTAGCAACTTTCAAAGATCACTGACATAAACACTTTGTAATTTTGCTGCTTAAGTGCCTTGCCTTAATGGCTTTAATAATAAATTCAGTTTTCTGGCAGGAGATATATTCCTTTGGAATGTTCCTCCAATCCAAATAAATGCAGAATTACTAGAGTGCCCTGATCCCATTATTTGATTTACAAACTGAAAATAATATAGTCCTTTGGGGGATATTTGGTGTTAGAACAAGATAACGTTCTGCTTTTCCAGAGATTCCATGTTTTGGGGGGTCCATCATGCCCCTCCTCTGCTTGTAATCTCTGTTCCCCTCTTACATGCCAACAGAACCCTATTCACCTGTAAAAAGACTCCACACATGGGTTACCTCCAGTGGTTTCTTAAATCCTCCAAGTAAATCACTGTCCGCTCTGGATTCCCACAGCAAATAAGTCATAAAAAACTTTACATGCTTTTTAAAATTGATTATTATTTTTAACCTAAGATGCTACCTTTTTAAGTACAAAGATTGTTCCTTATTCTTAACTTTTCTTGTGTACCACTAGCCGCAGTCCCTGGTGCACACAGGACACCTGAAGTAAGCCTGCAGAGTGTATTGCCTTAAGTCCAACATGCACAGTCACCACATATCTTCACATATTCCAGGCTTTCTGTTACACAATATCTTTTATTAGCTATAAAATGATTCATAGAGTTGCAATGAGTATTTAGGAAAAGTACAGATTAATTATCTGACAGAGCAAAATGTCACGACACTTTCAAAATGATTCATTACAGACAAAAGTAGTCAGAATAAGTACTACAACTGAAATCCATTCTTTGCAGTGGATGTGTTGATGAAAAAAAATGATACTGGATTTTCCCACAGCAATAAAGCATATGTTATTTGATTTCCTGTCACAATTAGGGGAATTGATATGTGTAAAATTGCCCAACTTACATTCAACACAAGTAGTTTAAACTAATGAATAAATATATTATGACAGCAAATATTATTTGATGTATTCCAGCTATGAGAGATGATTTGAGCTTCAAGTTAAAAATAAAAACAGACAGGTTGTTTATAGGCATCAGACTCTTGGGAACCAGTCTTCTGTATATTGATTCACCTAATTTTATGAGGATTAAAGCCAAGACTAAATAATAAAAGATCTCACAGGAACAGTTCTTATATTCATATGAATAAAGTAGAAGATGTAACAATCAAAATGACGACAAAAGGTGTTTATTTGCAAAAAAGTATCTTTCTTATTTATTCAGAATAGAAATAAAAATTTTGCTTATAGTAGAACATTTCATTTATTAGTTTTTCCTCTGAATCTTTTCAATTATTTTTAAAAATTCTTTAAAAAGTCACTTTATTTATATTCTACATTAATGTAGAAATAAATTGTAATGAAAACATTAAGGCAAAAAAAAAAACCCACTGGAAAAATGTATAAAAATAAAGAATGAGTGAGCACAAAGAATGCAGCTATAATGGACTGAACAGTTGTCACAACGCCAACAGGAAAGGCAGAGGGCACTAAAATAAATAATTATTGGTTAATGCCCTTATTGTTAAGTTAAATTAAATGTATACAATTTGATGGAAATTTAATTCAGCTTATTACAATTTCATCTAACTGTATTTTTTATTAATTACATTATAGTTATGAGTTCGTCAAAGAAATACAAAGTATGTTTCTGTGTCCTTTTAGAAGTCTAGTTAGAAATGGCTACTTCTGTTTTTCTGTTATTCTTATCTGAGAGGACAAGTTACATTTGTGAGAACATATTCTGCTATTTTGGGAATATTCGTAGGAGTGAAATTTCTGGGTCTTGGGATATGCACATATTCAGCTCTAGTAAAAACTGACTTTCAAACACATACCAACTTATACTCCCACCAGAATCGTATGAGAGTTTTGTCTTTTCCACATTATTGACACACTTGGTGTATATACATATATATTTTAAAATTTTTATCTTGCTGGTGGGTGTATAGTGATACAGTATTGTACTTTCAATTTGTATTTTGTTTTAGAGAGATAGTTCTTACAGTAATATATTTTGGATTGGGGAAAGAACATAATGGATTTAGGCTTAATGGGACTTGGAGCCTTGATTTGAGAGGGTGATCACAAAATAACTCTGAGGTTGAGAACCTAGGTAACTGGAAAAATGACAATGCCATTTGTAAAGATGGGGACATAGTCAAAGTAAAGGCTTTTGGGGAGAAGATGATGAATGCTCTTGAATTTAAGGTATAATTAGTACTTTACATAGGGTTGCCATGGTTTTGGACTTCTCAGAGGTTTGTCATTTTCAGATCATTAAAAACCATAGTTTTCTTTTTTCAAAGGGCAAGTTATATCTCTCACTAGCCATGTTGTGATAATGAATCAAAGTAGGCTTTTTAAAAAGGTACCAGAAACCAGTGAAGGGATTTTAAAAAGACATGGTTGCTAAAAGGCTATGTGTGTATGCTACTATGCAGTATTTTGTAGCATGTTTTTACTCTCTTAATGGCAAATTTCAAAAGATCATACAAATTTTATGTAAAACTAAAGTCATAAAGATGGGAAAATGGGTAAATTGTCATGTGGTTGGATACAAATATTCTAAGATAATTGTCTACTGTAGAAATAGATATGTGGGCCGGATGCGGTGGCTCATGCCTGTAATCTCAGCACTTTTGAAGGCCGAGGCGGGTGGATCACGAGGTCAAGAGTTCAAAACCAGCCTGACCAACATGGTGAAACCCCGTCTCTACTAAAAATACAAAAATTAACCAGGCATGGTGGCACACGCCTGTAATCCCAGCTACTCAGGAGGCTGAGGCAGGAGAATCGCTTGAAAACAGGAGGCGGAGTTTGCAGTGAGCTGAAATCATGCCATTGCACTCCAGTGTGGGCGACAGAGAGAGACTCTGTCCCTGCCCTTCAAAAAAAGGAATAGAAGCTTGGGCAAAGTTCTTAATATTTTCAAAATACTTCAAGAGACTTTATTCACGTTTTAACTGATTAAAACTTCTACAGATTAAAGAAGTATTAAAGTTTGTTAGGGAAAATGCCATTAATCAGCCTATTTTAAGTAAAATAAGTTTTACTTGCACGAATATGGGTCCTTAAATAGAGAAATTTTAAGCAATTTATTGACGTATTGACTCTAAATGTAAAAATGGAATTTTGTGTTCTTTTTTCCTCCAACATTTATTCCTATATACAACTATTTCTGTTTTTTTTCTGTGATAAAGATCTATTCACTGAGTTATGGGTAATTACTAGCTGTTGACAATAGACATTTTGTTCTAGATTTTACTGGGCTAAATAATTAAATTTAGAAATAACGTGGTGCTTGTAGTTGAAAATTACTGGAAATTTGTTTTTCAGGTTGAAAGGTGTTTGTCTTCCTTCTTTTGTACACTGTGTAAATTTCAACGAGTTCTTTCAGGGTAAATTAGTTGGGAAAGGAGGGAGGTGGGTATAATCGAGTAACAAAAACCTCCCAAAGTTTTAGAGCTTGTTACACTGAAGGTTCATTACTCACTCACATTGCAAACCTGTGGGGTCATTTGCAGGGATTTATTTCAAGTAGCTGGGACTTGTGAGATCGTGAGAAAAAATGAATGAAGTGCTTGGTATCTGGATGTATTTACACATCTTTAGAAGAATTCAGTCAACAACGGCTGTTGAGTGTCTTATTAGTCATAAGAAAAGCAAACAGGAAATTGTAGTCATTATATAAGAAAGATAATTTCTTCTTGGGGTTTTGTGTCCATAAAACCAGCCATCTAGTACAATGGGCAATGTCCTTTATTCCTGACTCCAGGCCTGATCTTACTCTTCTTAGGGAGTTTACTTTAGAAAACCTATAATTGTAAATTCTTTCTTTGCCCCATTGAGATGTAAATCTACACTTTCCTGAGGCTGGAGGAAGTGAGGGGCTGTCTTTCTGAAAAAAACTGGGAGTCATCCCTTTGAAATGAAATCATCAAGAAAGATAGTGTTTCTATCTCTCATTCTCTCTCAGAGGTAGGAGCCTGATTTCCAATGTAACAAACACAGATTGCCTAATGACATGGACTAACCTCCCCTCTAAGGTCCTTCAGTACTTTTTCACTAGCTCATTCCAGTGCCTAAGAACTCTTCTTCTTTTGTTTCAGGGGTATTGAATTTAATCTCTGATTCATTTTGCATTAGTTTTAAATAAAGTCTTTCTTTTATGTTTTACTTTATCCAGTGCAATTTTTCTTTGTCGAGAGTAGCCAATATATAATTCAAAAATAATATTCAATTAAAAGGCTTTTTAAAACCCTGTTTCAATTACCCTACAAACTTTGTTCTTATGAGAGTTGTTCAGAATTTTCAGTATTTTTTTTGAAAATTTTGAAATCTAAAACCATGGAATAAATAATATTTTTAGACAACAAGGGACTTTTCATTCTAAAACCTTAACCATCGTGTGTCTCTCTCAAGTGTTAAAGTTTTCCTTTTTTCAGTATTACAACTCAGTAGTAAGGAGATTTTCAAAATGCAGACAAAACTTTAATCAAAAGTATTCAAATTAAGGTGTTATTTCTAATTGCTAAATTATGACACATCTAAGTCACAGAAAAATACTGATGACATATGTTAAATAATAAGACAGGAATCAAATGTATAGTCAGTACCAAAACATAATGAGTTGCTGTCTTTGGTTGGCTTATTATGGATAATTTTTATTTTCTTTTTTATATTTTTCTATAATTTAAAATTCAAAAACCATTTACTTATCAAATGATAAATATTATTTAAAAATATATCTTCATGAAACAATTTTAGTGACTCTCCAAGAACTTTGCTTTTCATGATCATAGGTTGAGAGAAAATGAATAATGCATTGTAATTGGGAGTTTCAAAACATTTTCTCTCAGAATAAATGTTTTTTCAACTTGATATTTGAATGTATCTATACATTAATTTTCACAAGCTTTAGTATTTATTGTAATCATCTACCTTTAAAATTTATATTCTTGGATTTTGAGAATTTTTATAGCTTTTTTCTGTAAGAATTTTTTCTTTTTGTATTATGAGTCAGATTCCAATGTGTAGGAAAATCTGCTTTTTAAGTGACTCCAAATGAGCACTGTTTCTTATTCTGAAGATTTTTATTGTCATATTTGTTAATAGCTTAATTATACTTTACAAGCTGGAGCATCATATTTTTCCAGGACCAAGAGGAGAGAATGTCTCTTAACTTTTCTCGTATTTTAAGGTCAGCTTGAGTACTTTCCCATAAAGTTATTAAGTATAACTTCTGATAACACATAGAAGAGGTTATGAGCTTCCACCACAGTCCAGATGGTTTATGTCCTTGTCATTCTCTTCAGTGTTGGGTATAACACATTTTCTGATAGGTTTGGTTTTACTAACCCGTTTATCATTCAGCCTTTCTCAGTGAGGCAAAGTTGTGGTCGAGTAGATTAGGGTCAAATTTGTTCTGGCTTTAAAAGGGTTTGTTTTTCCACCTGGAATGCGGCCCCTCTCATTTTTTTCAGGATTGTGGTTTGTGAAAGAGTGAACTAACCAACACAAATAGGGTACTTAATCTTCATTTGTCAAAGCTGTAGGTGCTCTGCTTCTTTGATTTACATAATGAAAAGTTAAACAAATTTCTGCAAGATTCAATTTCCACAAGTTTTGTATTTTTATGTTGTACAAATAAATTTTTATAACTTAGCTGGTAAACACAATAAGTAAGGAAAACAATTTAATGTTTATTTGAATTTGCTGTGGAATAACACTATTTGCCTTATTTATGTATTATTTTCCTTTCCAATTTAGTTGTAGTAATTACTAAAATATTTTAAGATGGACATTTCTAATTTTGTAAATACACAGATACATGAGATGGAAAATATATGTTGTAGTTAAAGCCACCTGTTTAAGAAATTTTCTTAAAACACATATAAAGTTAATTTATTCCTTAAGAAAAGACTAAATGCTGTTCATTAGTAAAAATATGCAGTTACTAGACTTGTATTTGATTAAAAATTGTGACCTCTTTTCTATATAGCTGCTTTATTCAATTTCACTGATTATTCCCAAAGGTGGTCCTAGAAATTTCAAAAGCTTTTGAGTTCTTTTCTATTTGATTGATAATATGATTTTTTTTGTTAATTTTTTTTCTTTTTTTTGCCTCAGGTAACATTACTGAGGTAATTGGGATCATAAAATAATCACAGAAATTGCTTAGGTTAGATTTCACTGTATGAAACCAACAACCATTTGGTGATTGCCCAATAAATGCACATTACTATAGTCATATCTAGTAATCAGGGGACTGTGATGCTTGATAGGTACCAAACAAATATAATTTAGAGTCCTTAATGCTTGAGAAATGTGGCTACTTCTCAAAAGAACTGTTTCTCCCTAATAAGCTGGAATAGTATATGAACAGATAATTAAAGTCTAGCAGGAAGGAAGCAGGGAAGAAAATTTTCTAAAGTAGTATTCTGCTTTATTACTTGTATCACTTAGGATCTCAGCAGGAAACGGAGTGGTTACTGCAGCTGAAGGAGAGGAGGACCAGAGAGGAGCTGTGAATTTAGGCTGAGGAATGTAGCTACTGCTAACCTGCACTTCACAGGGAGGAGTGCCCCATCTCTCTTTCCTTCCATTCTCTGATCAGCTACTAGTGCTTCTTGCTGGCAAAGCCAAATAGGATCACAAGGCATAGAGGTCAGCCTCCTGGGCACAGAGCAGAGCAGAGAAGGCTGGAGAGCATATCTGCAGCTTGTCCCTTCACTGTTGATTACTTCTTTTGCAGTGCATAAGCTTTTTAGTTTAATATAGTTCCATTTATCTACTTTTGTTTTTGTCACCTGTGCTTTTGAAGTCTTAACCATAAATTATTTGTCTAGATGACCAATGTCTAGGAGAGTTTTCCTTAGGTTTTTTTTTTTTTTTTTGTAGTTTTATAATTTTAGAGCTTACATTTAATCTTTAATCCATTTTGAGTTGATTTTTGTACACAGTGAGAGAAGGTTCCATTTTCATGTGGCTATTAAGTTTCTCCAGCATCATTTATTAAAGAGGGTGTCCTCTCCCCAAAGTAATTTCTTGTCAGCTTAGTCAAAGATTAGTTGACTGTAAATACGTGGATTTATTTCTGGGTTCTGTTTTCTATTCCATTAGTCTATATTTATTTTTAGACCAATACCATGCTGTTTTGGTTACTACAGCCTTTTAATAAATTTTGAAGGCAGGTAGTGTAATGTGTAATGCCTTTTACTTTGTTCTTGTTCAGGATTGCTTTGGCTCTTAGGATCTTTCTTCTTCTTCTTCTTCTTTTTTTTTTTTTTTTTTTTGAGATGGAGTCTCGCTTTGTCACCCAGACTGGAATGCAATGGCGTGATCTTGGCTCACTGCAACCTCTGCCTCCCGGGTTCAAGTGATTCTCCTGCCTCAGCCTCCCAAGTAGCTGGAACTACAGGTGTGCGCCACCACGCCTGGCTAATTTTTTGTATTTTTAGTAGAGATGGGGTTTCACCATGTTGGCCAGGATGGTCTCTGTCTCCTGACCTCGTGATCTGCCCGCCTCGGCCTCCCAAAGTGCTGGGATTACAGGAGTGAGCCACTGCGCCTGGCCTCTTTCTTCATTTTACATGAATTTCATAATTGTTTTTTCTAATTTTATGAATAATGACTTTAGTATTTCATAGGAATCACATTGAATCTGTAGATTGCTTTATTCAATATGATCATTTTAATATTAATAATATTAATTCTTCTATTCCACGAGCATGGGTTATCTTTCCATTTTGGGGGCATCCTCTTTAACTTTTTGTCAGTGTTTTGAAATTTTTCTTGTAGAGATCTTTAACCTTGGTTAAATTTTTTCCTAAGTATATTTTTGTAGCTATCATAAATATGTTTGCCTTCTTGATTGCTTTCTCAACTGGTTTATTATTGGTGTATAGAAATGCTACTGGTTTTTGTATATTGATTTTGTATTCTGCAGCTTTACAAAATTTATTTATCAAATCTAGGAGTTTCTGGTGGAAACTTTAGGTTTTTCTACATAAAACATCATATCATCAGCAAAGAGGGACAATCTTCCTTCTTCCTTTCCAATTAAACCTCTTTTATTTTTCTTTTCTCTTGCCTAACTGTTCTGTTTAGAACTTCCAGTACTATGTTGAATAGGAGTGGTAAAAATGGACGTGCTTGTTGTGTTCCAGATGTTAGAGGAAAGGATTTCAGCTTTTCCTCATTCACTATGATGTTAGATGTAGGTTTGTCTTACTTAGTCTATTATTTTGAGGTATGTTCCTTCTATTTATAGTTTGTTGATGGTTTTTATCATGAAGCAATGTCAAATTTTATTAAATGCTTTTTCTGCATCTATTGAGATGATCATGTCATTTTTATCCTTCATTCTGATGATGTGGTGGTTCATATCAGTAGTTTTGCATATGTTGAACCATTCTTGCATATCTGGGATAAATCCCACTTGATTATGGTGTTTTATGATGTGCTGGTGGATTTGGTTTGCTAGTATTTTGTTAAGGATTTTTGCATCTGGGGTCATCAGGTATATTGGCCTGTCATTTTCTTCATTTATGTGTCCTTGTCTGGGTTTGTTATCAGAATGATGCTGGCCTCATAAAATGAGTAGGAAAGAATTCACTTGTTTTTAATTTTTTGGAATAGCTTCAGGAGAATTGGTTATGTTTATCTTTTGTACATTTGGTCGCTATCAGCTGGGAACACATCTGGTCTTCATCTTTTCTTTGTTGGGAGATATTTTATGACTAACTCAATCTTGTTATTCATAATGGTCTGTTCAGGTTTTCGATTTCTTCCTGATTCAATCATGGTAGGTTGTGTTTCCAGGAATTTATTATCCATTTCCTTTAGATTTTCAGTTTGTTAATAAATAGTTATTCCTAATAGTTTCTGATTATCTTTTGTATTTCTGTGGTATATGTTGCAATGTCTCATTTTTCCTTTCTGATTTTGTTTGTTAGGGCTTTCTGCCTCTTTTTATTGGTTAATCTAGATAGTGATTTATGAATTGTGTTTATATTTTTAAGGAACCAACTTTTTTGCTGATCCTTTGTAATTTTTTTTAGTCTTTATTTCATTTGATTTTACTCTGATTTTTATTTTTTCTTTCCTTCTGCAAATTTTGGGTTATGTTTATTCTTGCATTTCTGGTTCCTTGAGGTACATTGTTAGGTTATTTGAAATCTTTCTGCTTTTTTGATGTAGGCAGGGGGTTATTAATATAAACTTTCCTCTTAGCACTGCTTTTGTTGTGTCCCTCAGGTTTTGGTATGTTATGTTTCCATTTTCAATTGTTTCGGGAAATTTTTTGATTTCTATCTTTATGTCTTCATTGTTCAAATGGTCTTTGAGGACATGTTGTTTAATTCCCATGCATTTGTAGTTTCCAAAGTTAATCTTGGTATTAATTTATAGCTTTGTTTTATTGTGGTCTTAGAAGGTACTTGATATAATTTAAAATTAAAAAAATTGTTGAGGCTAGTTTTGTGGCCTAATACATGGTCTATCTTGGAGAATGTTCTATGTGCTAACGAAAACAGTATATATTCTGCAGTTGTTGGATAGAATTTTCTATAAATGTCCATTAGTTCCTTTTGCTCTAAAGTCCAGTTTAAATCTCATATTTCTCTATTGGTTTTCTAGATCTCTGTCTAGATGATCTGTCTAATGCAAAAGTGAGGTGTTGAATTTCCTTACTATTACTATATTGGAGGCTATCTCTCTCTCTTTAAATCCAATAATGTTTGCTTTATGAATCATTGTGGTCCTGCGTTGGGTGCATATATATTTAGAATTGTTATATCCTCTTGCTGGATTGTTCTTTCCCTTTATCATTACATTACATAGTGACCTTCTTTATCTTTTTTTTTCACTTTTTTTTCACTTTTTTTTTTTTTACCTAAAGTCTATTTTATTTTCTGTAAGTATAGCTACCTTGCTCACTTTTGGTTTCCATTTTTGTGGAATATCTTTTTTATCCCTTTACTTTGAGTTTATATGTATTTTTATAGGTGAAGTGTGTTTCTTTTAAGCAGCATAAAGTTGAATCACATTTTGTCATTCATTCAGCCAGTCTATATATTTTAAGTGGAGAGTTTAATCTATTTACATTCAAGATTATTATTGATATTTGAGGTTTTGGTAATGTCATACTGTTAATTATTTTCTGTTGTTTTGTATTTTCTTTGTTCCTTTCTTTTTCTCTTATTGTTTGTCATTGTGGTTGGTGGTTTTCTATAGTGGCACCATTTGAGTCCATTGTCTTTCTCATTTGTGTGTTTGCTTTACCAGTGAGTTTTATACTTTTTTGTGTTGTCACTATGGTAAATGTTGTTCTTTCAAGTTTAGGAATCCCTTGAGTATTTCTCATAGGTCTGTTCTAGTGGTGATTCATCCCCTCAGCATTTGCTTGCCTGAGAATGACTTTATTTCTCCTTCATTCATGAAGAATAATCTTAATGGAAATAATATCCTTGGGTGACAGGTTTTTTTCCAGCACTTTCAGTATGTCATTTTATTCTCTACTGGGCTTTAAGGTTTCTTCTGAGAAATCTGCTTTTATTCTGATGATTTGTTAGAAAATAGATGACTAGATGCTTCTCTCTTGTTTGTAGAATCCTCTCTTTGAAGCTGTCTGTGGACAGTTTGACTATAATGTACTGTAGAGAAGACCTTTTTGCATTGCATCTTTTTAGGGATCTTTGTGCTTCCTGTATCTAAATATCTAAGTCTCTTGCTAGGCTTGGGAAGTTTTCATCTATTATTTTGTTAAATAGGTTTTCTAACACTTTTGTTCTCTCTTTGGGGACACTTATAATTCGAGTATTCTATTGCTTTATGTTCTTCCAAATATCTTGAAGTCTTTACTCATTCTTTTTAATTCTTTTTTTTCCAAAAAACCTGCCTTCATGTTCTGAAATTCTTTCTTCTGCCTGATTTAGTCTATTGAAGTTTTCAAGTATATTTTGTATTTCATTTGATAAATTTTTTTGTTCCAGGATTTGTTTGGTTCGTTTAAAAACATCTATCTCTTTGGTAAACTTGTCATTCATATCCTGAATTGTTTTTCTGATTTCTCTGTATTGTTTTTCATATTTCTCTTGCATTTCACTGAGCTTCTGTAAGATCAATATTTTTAATTCTTTATCTGAGAATTTGTGACTTTCCTTGTGATTGAAATCTGTTGGTGTAGAATTATTCTGTTCCTTTGGAGGTTTTATATTTTCTTCCCTTTTCATGTTCATTGTGTCCTTACTTTGATATCAGCACATCTGTTGTAACAGTTGCATTCCAATTTTTAAAATTTGTTTTCATAGGGTATGACGTTTTCCTGAAGAGGTATCTATGGTGTTCACTGGGTAGGGCACTTTGGCTTTGATTTTTAGTCCTGCAGAAATATAGTCTCTATATGATTTCTTTGGATGTATATAGTTCAGTTATATCTGTGATTTCTTTAGTGGCTTAGGATGGGGTTATTCATGGAAGCTGTGGTGAAGTTCTATTGGAGAGTTGGATGCTAGTTGGGTCAGTCTTTTGGCCCCTGTGGTGACAGCATTAAGCTGAATGTACCTGTTAATGATCCCCAGAAGAGAGTATGTTGGCTCTGGTGTTAGGGGTCCAGGTGGGCTGATTCTTGGGCCTCGAGGCAGCTTACCCAGATGCCAGTAGTGGCAGTGCTGGGCCAGGTGTGTGGGTGGGCTCTCTGGCCCCTAAGCAGTGGGCATGATGTCAGCAATGGCAGTAGTTGTGGTGGGGCAACCCACTGAAACCCAAGCAGTTGATGCTGATCTTGGCAGTGGCTGCAATGAGTTAAGTGGGGCAGTCTTCTGGCCCACAGGTAACTTGTGTAGGTGGGTTCCTGCTATGGTGGCATTGATAGTTTGGGTCAGCCTGACCTCAGACTCCAGGAAGAGTGCTCAGGTTTCAATGGTGCCGGGCTGGATTGGGCAATTCCCAGGTGCCTGGATGTTGTGCTGAAGTACTAGGGAGACAGGACTGGGCTGGTGGATGTGTCCTCAGGCCTCTTGGTAGTACTTCAAGTGTTGGCCATGATAGGCAGGAGCAAGGTGGTCACCATGTCACTGGCAGTATGCTTAGGTGGGAGCAGCTGCAGCTGCACTGCAGACCTGCCACCAGAGAGGGTGTGGCCACTGTCAGTCAGACAGCATAGGAAGGTAGCTATGGGGCATAGCTTGGTTTGCTTGCACCTTGGTCCTGCATCCCAAAGCAGCATCAGTGGAATTGGCAGCATCAGAAGTATTGGCCTCAGGGCATAACATAGTCCTCTTGGGACTAAGCTCTCAGAATGGCACCATGTTGCAGTTGCTCAGGTCTTGGAAACCTGTGGGACTCACCATGAGTTCCCCCTCTGGGTCAATGCCTTTGTGCAATGTTTAGCAACTCCCTTTGTTAGTCTCAGGACCCATGAGGGTCAAAGGGCTCTCTCACAGCTAGGATTGTAAAAGTCCATGGTGGGAATGTGGAGCCCTTGAGGTCTCTCACTTACTCTCTTTACGTATCTGAGATCTTCACCTGGCTCCCAGTGGATCGTGGCCAAGAAGGCTGCTTTGTTTCCCTTTCTTTTTTTTTTTTTTTTTTTTTTTGCTTTTCATGCTTCTTTTAACTTTTCTGTTGAATTCCAGTGTTCTGTCATAGAAGGTCTATTCAAAATGTGAATATCCACTTGCCATTTTGGTTCCTATCCTTGGAAGCAGTGCATACTAGCTGCATCCAGTCAGCCATCTTGCCCCATATCTCAGTGAACTTGCTAAAACAATTGCCTTTATATGAGGCAAATTCTAGTAAACCAGTCACTGCCATTGTCTGACTATTGGTATATAAGGTGAAAGTCCCACAGCCCTATGAACAGAAGCACCATCTGTTGTTTTCTGACTTGAACATTTTATGCTCCCCTTTCTTTATCCTTCTACCTTATGAAATTCAGATGCATTATAATTTTAATGTGAAAATTCCAAACTACTTTATTAACTATTTAATAAAGCTAAATGTATGGAAAGATAAAATTTTATCATTCTAACATTCTTACTTACCTTTCAAAACCCAGTTAATTCCTTTAAACTGCCTCTATCCAATCATTCTATGACTTTTTACCCAGTCAAGTTACTATTTATTCATGTACTCTGTAAACATTTATTGATAAACCACTAACCTACCAGAAACTGAGCAAAACTCTGGGAACCCAAAATCTTTATACACAGAATTAAATACAGTTCTGTAGTCATAGTCCAGTGGTGGAGTTAGATATAAAACCAGATAAATACAAGACCATGCTTCCAGAGCCATTACAGCAGCACAAACAAAAAACAGAGAGGTAAAATAAGGGATATAAACAGGTGAAATAAGGTATCAACTCTGTATTTGAAATCTAGGAAGGAAAAAGCCATAGAATTCTTGAAATGGATCTTGAAGGATGAATAGGAGTTTTCCAAACACAAAGAGTTATGAAGTACTTTCCAGGTAGGAAAACTCAAACTATTGTGTGAAATGTGTGGGAGCTGGGCTTATTTGAGGAATAGCTTGAAGTTGGCTAGGAGCATGGGATGAGATGGAGTGCAGTGGGAGATTTTGATTGGAGGTGGAGGGTGGGCCCATTTATGAAATAAGGCAGTTGGGGAGAGAAAATTATCCTCTCATATTCCCTTTACTCCTGACTCTTCCAGTATCATTTAATCTTCCACAAATTGTCATGGAAACTACATGTCCGAAGCTATGGGAAAAGCAAGATAATTTACACTAAAGAAATTAATGACTAATATTTACTTAACTCTTCTATAGGTATCTGATAAATAAAAAGTTTCAGAGAGTCTATGGGTTACAGAAGGCATTTTTGAGGGACTATCATTCCATAAATCATGCTATGCAATCTACTTTTCTTAGATGCTTAAATTATAAGATGGAGATAATAAAACACATCTTAAAGCATTCTATTTGATCACACAGCAGAGGGACTATAGTCAATAATATGTTAATTGTACATTTTAAAATAATGAAAAGAGTGTAATTGGATTATTTGTATAACACAAAGGATATACATTTGAGGGGATGGATACCCCATTCTCCACGATGTGATTATTTCACATTGCATGCCTGTATCAAAACATTTAATACACCCTACAAATACATACATCTACTATGTACACACAAATATTATAAATAAAAAATGAAAAAATAAAACACATCTTACCAGGCTGTTGTGAATTTCAACTAAGATAATATATGTGAAAGTCTTTAGTAACCTGCAAAGTGCTGTCTACCAATAGAATTTTATCTAAATTGGCCCTGGATCCCAGCCTTCTATTACTTTCAGAACCAGCCACAAAAGTTTCTTTTTTCTTTCTATAACTGAATCACTTTTAGGCCTTTTTTGCCGTTTTTGCTGGATGTGGTGTTGTCATGGGGTGTCTGCAAACAGCTCTGAGATGGAAAGTTGAGTAAATTAAGAGAAAATTTGTTCCTTGGAAGAGTTCTCTGGAGATACCCCTATATGGAAATGAGGAAGGCCTTTCAGAATTTTTCCATTTGAGGAAACAGGCCAACTTTTGGCCTTTTATTAGCCAATTATCAGCTTGGCGCCATCTCTGGGTGAGGTGGTTCCTGGCCAAGGGCCTTTGCATGTGAGCAGGGAGCTCTGAAGCATCAGTAGCAGATAGCCTCAGTTGCTGGGGGATGGGTACTTCCACCTGAAGATGGAATATAAGCAGACATCACAGCACCCACTACCCTTTCCCTTCCTTCACTGGATTCCAAGATGAAGTCTGAAGGTGAGCTACCCTTGTCAATGAAAAGACAAAGAAGTTCAGATAGTTCCCACTGAAAAAGCAGGGAGGTCCTAATCTTGGGGACTCTCTGTGTTATGCATTCAGAGATTTTAGAGAGATTTTCATTGTCAAGTTGTCTCTTCACTACACACTTTTTCTCTTTGTTTTATTTATCTGAGCCCACAAATGCTGGTTTTGAATGTGAAAAACTTTAAATATGTAACCCACTGTCATTTATATCTAATGATGACTTAAATCTGTGTAGTATATTACTATATTAAAAAAAACTTCTAACTCACTAAGTGTAGCATAACTCAAAATTTAAAAAGATATTTATGTGTATACATGCATATAGAAGAAAAACTGCAAAGTTACACTCTGAAATAGTAATGATTATTGGATGATAGAATTATTTGTAATTTGATTTTTTTCTTTTTTAAAAAATTTGCATTTCTTATTTTCTTTGACAAAATATTATTTCGCAATTATAAACAAGCAAGAAGTGTTTTGAATAATTATATGGTTCTTTATAATTTACAAAATGCTTTTATATACATTATTATATGTAATACATCTTGCATCTTACCATGTCAGATAATAGAAGGTCTTATGGGAATCATTTTATAGATGTGAAAACTGATCTTTAAAGAAGTTTACATAGAAGTTTACACAGCTATTACATCGTTAGAATCTCTCCTAGAAATATGCAGGGCGTGGTGGCTCATGCCTGTAATCCCAGCACTTTGGGAGGCTGAGGCGGGCAGATCACGAGGTCAGGAGATCGAGACCATCCTGGCTAACAAGGTGAAACCCCGTCTCTATTAAAAATACAAAAAGTTAGCCGGGCGTGGTGGCGGGCGCCTGTAGTCCCAGCTACTTGGGAGGCTGAGGCAGGAGAATGGCGTGAACCTGGGAGGCGGAGCTTGCAGTGAGCCGAGATCATGCCACCGAACTCCAGCCTGGGCGACAGAGCGAGATGCCGTCTCAAAAAAAAAAAAAAAAAAAAAAAAAAAAAATCGCTCCTGAAAATTGGGTCTTAAAAGTCCAAATCTAGTGCCTTTTTTTGTCCTTATTTCTTCCAAACTATTACGCATCTCTCTGGTATCTGCTACTTGCTGGTTCTGCAAGTAGAATATTGGGATCCATGGCCACTTTAGATAAAATTCTATTTGAAGATAGCACTTTGCTTTTTATTTCAACAATTAACTACATTCTTCATACATATACAGCCTCCTTGGTTTGTTTCACGTGTTGTGTAGCTATCTTCTCCCGCCTTAAAAAAAATTTAAAGTGTCTATGATTATAGCAGCCAGCAGAAAATTTTCAGGCAAGAATATTCATTAAATTCAACTGACTCCTTTCTAAGTGACATACTCAAATGTAAGCCTAAGGGAAGTATAAAGTTGAGCTTTTCCAAAAACCATAAGGTGTATTTCATGCCTCACCTATTAGAATATTTTAGATATTCCATCTTGCCCATAATATAGCAATATGAAATAATTTAAGAATCTCTACTTTAAAAGTATTCTGTATAAATTTTATATTACCTTAATACTTCTTATACATACATTATAATTTTATACTAAAATAATGTTTTATATTAAAATATGTATGTACATGAGAAATTTGGTAAATAAACTTGGTCCTTTAGTTTTCCTTAAAGAACTGTGCTTAAGGATATATTTCTCAGTAAAAGATCAGGTAATTCACCTGGAGAAATATAAAATAGTAGGATTTCTATTTTATTTTATTTTAAGTTTCGGGATACATGTGCAGGATGTGCAGGTTTGTTACATAGGTAAACATGTGTCATGGTGGTTTGCTGCACCTATCAACCCATTACCTAGGTATTCAGCCCAGAATGCATTAGCTATTTATTCTAATGTTCTCCCTCACTCCCCACCTCAACCAAGCCCCACAGGCCCCAGTGTGTGTGATTCACCTCCCTGTGTCCATGTGTTCTCATTGTTCAGCTCCCACTTATAAGTGTGGTGTTTGCTTTTCTGTTCCTGCATTAGTTTGCTGAGGACAATGGCTATAAAATAATTTGATGGCATAATCTATGAAATGCTGAATAATTGTCTTATTGCCACTTCAAGGGATTGGTGATAATATAATAGTATATTGAATGCAAAATAACTAGATATTTCCTTCTCTCTGAAGACAAGTGGGTACAAACAATTCTCTGTGGTCATAAATAGACAAATATCTGCTTGGTAGTGAATACAGTCATGTCCTTTAGGAGAAGACCATGAGTTCTCTGGGCATTTTGAGGCTTTTAGAGGAGGAGCTGGTCAAAGAGGTTTTAGTTGTTTTGTTTGAGGTTATAGCAGAAAGTGAGGAGAGTCTTTAAGGAGACACAGCATTGAAATATGTGGAATGTCAGGGAAATAATTCCCAGGTGAGGAAACAATGTGACCCAAAGACACAAATGTAGAATCAACTCTGGGCTTTTGGTCAGATTTTGAGATTTAGGATGTGGTGAGATATTAAAAAGTGCTTTATTTGCTCAGACAAGTGTTGTGATGACTTATTGTGTACCACATAATTAGTCTGGCAATAAAGCCAGCTAGGTTTTGGTAATATAAACTTGAAATTAGAAGATTTTCATTAGGCTACTAGTCTTAAAAATTCCAAAGAAGGAATACACATAATATTTTTTAAATTTAGTAACGCTTTTTTATAAAGACATAGGGTATAAAGCTTCATTGATAATTTGATTTCTAATTTATTTAAACATTTTTAAAAATATGTATTATAAAACAGAAAGAATTTAGACCCAGAAGGACTGGAGTGATAGTGGCTGTGTATTGCAGAAATGAGGGAACTGAGTCCTTAGAGAAGTGAAATTTTTGGTCCAGACTAATGCAGTGATGTAGTGGCAAGACCCTGGATTTTGTACCAGGAGGCTGGAGTTCAACCCTAGGTTTTGCCACTCACAGGCTTTGTGACCTCAGGCAAGCCTTTATATATATATAAATATATACATAAAGCCTTTATATATATATAAATATATACATAAAGCCTTTATATATATATATAAATATATATATAAAGGCTTTATATATATAAATATATATATAAAGCCTTTATATATATAAATATATATAAAGCCTTTATATATATAAATATAATATAAATATATATATTATATATAATATATATATTTATATATATTATATATAAATATATATATTTATATATATATTTACCTTTATATATATGTATATTTACCTTTATATATAATATATATTATATATATAAATATATTATATATTATAATATATATAATATATATTATATATATAATATATAATATATATATTATATATTATATATATAATATATATTATATATATTATATATATTTATATATATAATATATATTATATATAATATATATAAAATATATTTATATATAAATATATAAATTATATATAATATATATATTATATATATAAATATATATATAAAGGTAAATATACATATATATAAAGGTAAATATATATAAAGGTAAATATATATATAAAGGTAAATATATATATTTATAAAATATATATTTTTTTATAAATTTATATATATATATATACACCTGTGTTTACTCTTTTTTTTATTATTATACTTTAAGTTCTGGGATACATGTGCAGAACGTGCAGGTTTGTTACATAGGTATACACATGCCATGGTGTTTGCTGCACCCATCAACCCATCAACTACATTAGGTATTTCTCCTAATGCTATCCCTCCCCTAGCCCCCCACCCTCAATAGGCCCCCATGTATGATGTTCCCTTCCCTGTGTCCATGTGTTCTCATTGTTCAACTCCCACTAATGAGTGAGAACATGTGGTGTTTGGTTTTCTGTTCCTGTATTAGTTTGCTGAGAATGATGATATCCAGCCTCATCCTTGTGCCTGCAAAGGACATGAACTCATCCTTTTTCATGGCTGCATAGTATTCCATGGTCTATATGTACCACATTTTCTTTATCCAGTCTATCATTGATGGGAATTTGGGTTGGTTCCAAGTCTTTGCTATTGTGAACAGTGCTGCACTATACATACATGTGCATGTGTCTTTATAGTAGCATGATTTATAATCCTTTAGGTATATACCTAGTAATGGTATTGTGGGGTCAAATGGTATTTCTGGTTCTAGATCCTTGAGGAATTGCCACACTGTCGTCCACAATGGTTGAACTAATTTACACCCCCACCAACAGTGTAAAAGTGTTCCTATTTCTCCACATCCTCTCCAGCATGTGTTGTTTCCTGACTTTTTAATGAACAACATTCTAACGGGCATGAGTTGGTATCTTATTGTGGTTTTGATTTGCATTTCCAATGGAACAGAACAGAGGCCTCAGAAATAACACTGCACATCTACAACCATCGGATCTTTGACAAACCTGACAAAAACAAGCAATGGGGAAAGGATTCCCTATTTAATATATGGTGTTGGGAAAACTGGCTAGCCATATGCAGAAAACTGAAACTGGACCCCTTCCTTACACCTTATAGAAAAACTAACTCATGATGTATTAAAGACTTATATGTAAGTCTTAAAGCCATAAAAACCCTAGAAGAAAACCTAGGCAATACCATTCAGAACATAGGCATGGGCAAGGACTTCATGACTAAAAACACCAAAAGCAATGGCAACAAAAGCCAAAATTGACAAATGGGATCTAGTTAAACTAAAGAGCTTCTGCACAGCAAAAGAAACTATCATCAGAGTGAACACGCCACCTACAGAATGAGAGAAATATTTTGCAATCTACTCATCTGACAAAGGGCTAATATCCAGAATCTACAAGGAACTTAAACAAATTTACAAGAAAAAATCAAACAACCCCATCAAAAAGTGGGCAAAGAATATGAACAAACACTTCTCAAAAGAAGACATTTATGCAGCCAGTAAACATATGAAAAAAGACTTTTAATCTCTAGAAAGATGGGCTTTCTTTTGTGCAACAAGTACAAATAGTAGAACCTGCCGTGTCTATATGCAACCTCATGTGGCTAATGTGAGGATTAAGATGCTTTGCCAGTTGCACAGCTGTATGGTATGATGATCATCCATAGGCAGGCTGAACTAGAATTCAGGTCTCCATTATTCTCTGTGATCAAATCCTTTTTGCTTGCTTTACTTTTTGCTCATGGATATATAAAGTTTGTTTCTGAAATCCGATAGCATGTCACATTCTTTATGGGAAAAAGTCTCAGAAAAACCACTCTGTAGATCTAGTGTCCCCACAGGCCTCAATCCCAATTTTTGGAAATATTTTCAAAATTTTTCTGAAGATTTCTAATAGGCAATCCTATTACTTTCAAATAATGACAAATTTGTCTTCTGCATTCCAACATATGTAACTCATTTTTTAATATTTTTTAAAGAGAGAAACATCTTGTTTCATTCACTGGAATTTGTAGAAAAGTAAGGGTATAGCAGGGATATGGTAGGCTTCCATTCTTGTTCCTGACTTTGAGAATGTCTCCTCTTCATTGTTTCACTGTTAAGTGATATTGGCTTAGATGATCACATATCTTTTTAAATAGCCTTCAATTTTATTAAATAACATGCTGGCAGCTGTTAATATGATGGTATAATTTTTCTTCTTTGACTTCTTAGTGTTTTATTAATTATGTCAAAATATTTTAGCATAATGTTATATTAATTATTTTAATAGAGTTTCTTGTGTTGAAGCATCTTTACTGGAATCAGCTACTAGAATATATTTTTTTCCTGGATTACTTTCCACTTTTTTTTCTTTCCTTCTCAGTCTCAGTCTCCTTTGCTGATTGCTTTTCTTTCCTTTTCTCCTTTTTTTTTTTTTTTTTTTTTTTACAATAGATGTCTTGAACTTATTCCTCCCATCTAACTGAAATTTTGTATCCTTTGATGAACAACTCTCCAATTTCTCTTTCCCTACCAGCCCCTGGTAACCACCATTCCACTCTCTATTTCTATGAGTTCAACTTTTTTACAATCCACGTATGAACAAGATCATGCATTATTTGTCTATTTGTGCCTGGCTTACTTCACTTAACATAATGTCTTCCAGGGTCATCCATGTTGTTGCAAATGACATGATTTCCTTCTCTTTAAAGGCTGAATAGCATGCCACTAAATATAAATACTATATATAAAATGTATTTTCTTTGCCTATTCATCTGTTGAGGAACATTTAGGTTGATTCCATACCATGGCTATTGAGTATAATGCTGCAATGAACATGGGAGTGGAGATATCTCTTTGGCATATTGATTTTATTTTCTTTGGATATATACCTAGTAGTGGGTTGTCTGGGTCATATGGTAGTTCTATTGTTTTTTGGAACCTCCCCACTGTTTTCCATAATGGCTATACTTTACTTTTCCACTAACAGTGTTCAAAGGTTTTCTTTTTTCCACATTCTCTCCAATACTTATCTTTTGTCTTTTTGATAATAGCCATTCTAACAAGTGTGAAGTGATATCTCATTGTTGTCTTAATTTGCATTTCCTTGATGATGAGTCATGTTGAGAATGTTTGCCTATACCTCTTTGCCAGGTATATATCTTCCTTTGAGAAATGGCTGTTCAGACCCTTTGCCTATTTTTTAATTTGGTTATTTATTTTCTTACTATGGAGTTGTTTGTGTTCCTTATATTTTTTAGATATTAACCCCTTATCAGATATGTGACTTGCAAATATTCTTTCCCCTTTCATAAGTTGTCTTTTCACTCCCTTGATTGTTTCCTTGACTGTGCAGAAGCTTTTTAATTTGATGCAGTCCCATTTGTCTATATTTTCTTTTGTTGCCTGTGCTTTGGGTTCACATCAAAAAAATTATTGGCCAGACCAATGTTATGGGGTTTTCTCCTATTGTTTCTTCTAGTAGTTGCACAGTTTCAGGTCTTACATTTCAGTCTTTAATCAATTTTCAGTTTATTTTGTGTATATGGTGTGAGATAAGTGTCTAATTTCATTCTTCTCCATGTGTATCTCTAGTTATCCCAGGACAATTTACTGAAGAGGGTGTCCTTTCTTCATTGTGTGTTCTTGGCAACTTTGTTGAGAATTCATTGACTCTAAATGCGTGGATTTATTTCTGGGCTCTCTATTTTTAGTTTATCTCATTGGTTTATGTGTCTGCTTTTATGCCAGTGCCATGCTGTTTTGATTACTCTAATTTTGTGTTATATTTTGAAGTCAGGTAGTGTGATGCTTTCAGCTTTGCTCTTTTTGCTCAAGATTTCTGTGGCTGCTCAAGATTTCTTTGGCTCTTCAAGATCTTTTGGAGTTTCAGACAAATTTTGGAAATTTTTTTCCATTTCTGTAAAAAATGTCTTTGGAATTTTCACAGGGATTGCCCTGTGCTAGTTTCTTCTCTCTATCCTTCCAGTATTCTGTCCCAAAGCTCAGTCTTTATTTGTCTTTTTCTATCCTTGAAATTATCTAATCTAATGGATTTAAATACCATATATATATATGTATCACCTGCAATACACAATAAGCTCCTGTTTTCCCTCATCCCACCTTTTCCCCCTACAGTCAGCTCTCAACACAGCAGCCAGAGCGATTCATTTACAGTGTAGGTCATATATGTTACAGCTCTGCTCAACCCCCAAGGTCACCCCAGCTAACTCAGAGTAAAAGCTAAAACCTTTATAATGTAACACTGAAGGATCTGGCCCCATTACTTCTCCAACCCGACTCCTCCTCCACCCCAGCTTCACTCTGTTCCCACCCCACTGACCTCTTTGGTGTTCTTTGAAATTTCCAGGCATAATTAGGCCATAATACTTTTGGCCTAGTTGTATCCTTTGTCTCAAGGAATCCACAAAACTAATTCCGTCATTTTATTCATGTTTTTGTTCAAATGCTAGCTGAGTTCAAATGCTCCACTGAGTAGTGGAGGTCTATTCTTGAACTACGTATTTAAAGTTGCAACCAACCATCTATTCTCATCAGTTCTGGTCTCTTTATCTAGCTCTAGTTTTTATTCTCCTGTATCACTCCTCATTCTCTAACTATTGCGTAACTTACTTATTTATGATTCAAGTTATTTGTTGTCTTCATTCATCTGCTATAAAGTAATTTCCGTGAGGCAGAGATCTTTGTTTTGTTTGCTGATATAACCTTAGTAATGAAAATTATGATTCACATTATAGATGCTTAATAAACATTTATTAAATGAATGAATGCATGCACAGAATCCCACTTAATCATGTCAGATCTTTCCTTTCATTCTTTATAGGATATGATTTACTTATGTTTTGTTTAGGATTTTTGCATTTAAATTAGTGAGGTTGCTATTTTAGTATTTTTTTTTGGTGACATATTCATCATGTTTTAGTATTAAGATTGATAACTTCTTTAAAAGAATCGACAAAGTTTCAAGATTTTTCTTTATCAGAAGTGTTAAAATAGCATAGGAATAACCTGTGTTGTGAGGAAAGATTTCTGTCATAAAACTCAGCTTGGCCTCTTTGGACAACATTTTAAATTGCTTTTATCATTTTTTCTATAAAGTTCTTTCATCAATGATTCTAATTATTTTAGGTTTGAATTTTTAAAAATTTGTTTAATTGACAAATAATACTTGCACATATTCATGGGGGTACATAGTGATGTTTTGATACATATAATATATAGTGATCAGAACAGGGTAGTTAACATATTCATCATCTCAAACACTTATCATTTATTTGTGTTGGGAACATTCAATATCCTCCTAAGTAGCTATTTGAAACTATATATTATTTTTAACTACAGTCATCCTACAGTTGTAAAGAACACTAGAATTTATTCCTCCTACTAGCTATAATTTTGTAGCTTTTAAGAAGCCTCAATAATTCTAATTTTAATGTTAACATAGTATTACCTATAATTTAAAGATGTCCCATGTATCTGAAGTTCTATCTTCTTTCTCATTATGTTGTGTATTAATATTATTGTTTTTGATAAACTCATAGTTCACTTTCCCAGTTGTACATTAGGGTTCCAAAGTATAAAGTTATAACTCTTGGTTTCTTCTGAATATAATTTGTTTCAAAGTCTAAATGTAGCATTTTCCTAATTGAAAATATTGCAACAACCAGAAAATAAGTTTAATGTGTAAAATGTTTTATGTCATGATTAAAAATAATAAAAGTGAGGTTTAATGACATATGTTGATGTTTTTCGTGCTGGAAAAGACTCTAGAAATAACATTGGCTAAAGGTCTAGGCCTTATTATTATTTTTTTGGTGTGTAAGGAAACCAAAGCTTTGAATAAGTGATTTCCCCAGAATAACACACCTATTTGTTGTGGTTAATATAAAAAGAGGGCATTTTAGTTTGTTTCCAAAAGTTGGAACTGTTTTTTAAAAATTAAGCATTCATCAAAATGTTATATAGATAAAATGACGATGGCGTCAGATGCAGCATTTTAACAGATGGTTGTTTTCTGATATAGTGTTTTAGAAAAGTAACATGATGACAATCTGCATTTGCTAGAGCAGAAAGGCATTTTGCAAGATGTTAAGGCAGTTTATATTAAAGAAGACTGGAGAGCTGGGGATTCTGACCTCAGCCAAAGTTTACCACTTAAATCCCTCAAATAAGTGTTCTTTATCATTGCTGGGACATTTGGCAATACCTGTGGATATTTTTGGTTGTGATAATGGTGAAGGGTGGGGGTAGAGGTGCTGGTATCTAGTGGGTAGAAGCCAGGGATACTGACAAACATTCTGCAATGCACTGGGCATCCCCCTACCAACAAAAAATTTTCTGGCTACAAATGTCAATAGTGGTGAGATTAAGAAAACCTGACCTAAAGTGATGACTCAAATTGAGTGCCCCAGTCCTGTATTTACGGTTGCTTGCAATGACTTCAAAATAAATACTACATTGTGTTTTTAATGCATCTCCCAAAGTATGTGCAAGAAAACATTAGTCCTATCAGATATTCTTTGAGAAAAGGGTCAAATATGCTTGCAAAACAATGCATATTATGTTTCTTTCTTGAATGTCTACATTAAAACTAGCATATTAAAAGCTCTGAGAAGTCCTACAGTGAGAATCTACTTAACTTTGCTTAACCCAGCATATCCTATCTTTATTATACCATGGAACATTTTTGACATAGCCTCTATGAACATTTCTGAGAAGAGTCTTCAAGAAATGCAGTCACTTTGCTTTAGAGTTTTCAAAGCCCTTTCACTTTGATTTCACTGGAGTCTAACAACCATTCCATAACATGTAATTCTAAAATAACCTCAGCATTTTCTCCCAAATAATTCACCTGTCTTAATTTATCCTTTCTTCTTCATTTACTAGAGCCAATAAGAAATTTTCTGTTAATTAATATTAATTTATTATAAAACATAATTATTTAAAAAACATATAAAATGCAAATAAGCAAAACAAAAATTTCCCCACAACTGCTCCATTGTTCATACATTCTGATATTTTTAGATTTGATTCTGCCAATATATTTGAAAATAAAATTGTACTGCATAAACGTGGGCTTTTGTTGGTTAATATATTTAACATTTTAGAGTTTTCATTTAATATGATTTTATTATATCATGTTATAACAGGAAATGAACATTCAAATGTCAGTTGGATAGTTAGTTGGGTATTTCATTACATGGCAACATGAAGCTTTACTTAAGGAGTCCCCACTAATGGATATTTAGTTTCCTTTTTCTTTTTTGGCTAATTTTTAGAATACTGTAATGAACAACTTTGTACATATATATTTTCACACATTATTAATTATTTCTTTCCCTAGAAAATTCCTAGAAGTGGAATTGTATTAATAGGTGGGGAAAGATATAGAGACAGTAATGTGGTGTTGGTCGTGACAGTGCTGGTATATCTTAAGGCTTTGGTCCTGGAAAATTGCCTACTTACACTGTACAAATTTACAGTTCCAACAGTAGTATATACAAGCATATATAAGGTCTTATACTGTATTCTTATAGTGTTTGGATTTGCCTCTTTCTTTTCATTTTCCCTGCTATAGGTTAGGTCCAAACCCTTGATTTTTTGGCTTTCCGGTCGTCATACTGGCTGTTCTTTCCTCCACCTCTTTGCTCATATGGGCTCAGTTCAAATTATTGTTTCTCTTAGAAGTCTTCCTATATCAAAGAGCACCAAATTCCACACTTCACAGTTTGAAATGGCCTTTTGTTGTATTTAATTGCTAATGTATATATTTTAGGTTTCTGACCAGCTCATAAGCACCACTAGAGCCCAACTCTGAATACTCACTATGTCTCAGTCACTGTGCTAGGGCCTGAGGCTGCTAGAATAAGGTAGACATGGTCCTTGCTCTTGAGCTGCGTACAGTTTGTAGAGAAAATAGAGAAGAAGCAGACTATGAAAAGCGCTATGACAGCAGTAAATAGGGTACTATCAGAGTACAGACTGGGGATTTGGAGGGCTAGGGAAGGCCTCCTGGAGGAATCCTCTGAGGGGAGTTTTAAAAGATGAAGAAAGGTCCTGAGTAGTGAAGAATGAGGAGTGAAAGAAAGTTTGTATGTAGCAGCATTGTGTGTGCATAACATGTCAGAGAAAGTTGGACAAGAACATGAAGTATATGTGGCAAAGTTGCAAGAAATAAATCTGGAGAGACAGGCAGAGAAGACAAAGCCTGATGGGGCTATAGGGGCAATGCAAAGACATATAGGCTTCATTCTGGTGATACTAGGAGTGAGGAAGGTGGGTTGGCTGAGGCAAAGGATGCTGGAGGCTATGGTTACAGTTCCTCTGCATACCCGCTGTACCAAGCATGGGGCCAGCCCCAACCTCTGTGTGTGCCTGTGTGTGTGTGTTTTCAATCATCACTTTGCAACTGATATTTAAAGGATTATTGGATCTGTCATTTAATTTTCTTGGGCCTTTTCATCTCAATGATTATATTCACAATCATACTCTTACTAAAGGACTTAATGGGGATGAGAATGAAGCATATTATTTAGTGAAAATGTGTCTGAAGTCGTAGGCGAGTTTTATAGTCGTTACTCTCCTATTTGGCCTACGACTATAACTATGTTTATGATGCATTTGTGCCCTGCTACTTCTACCTCAAACTCATTTAATGAGGTTGTGATATTTAGGGCTAGTTTATTTAATCATTTGAGTTGCTTTGGGAGACTTTTTTTACTTGATTATATACAGGAGATTGATGAATAGAGTTAGGAAGACAGGAAAAACTTTTTGCAGAGTTGTATTTTTGTCAGGATATAAAAATAATTTTTAATCTACATAGAAAAGGAAATTTTGTTTATGATATTTAATTTTTAAAAATTTAATTACAGCTTTTAATATAAAGCTTTGGATTCTGAAAACATAATAGTAATAACGATAGAAACCATTGAATTCTTTTCCTTGCATGGGGATTTCTACTCAATTTAAGAACTCATTGTTTAACAACTAGGCTTAAAATCACTTTTATTTGCCACCTTACTCATATTTCGATAAAATGAAAGACATTGCCACTTTATAGTGATTTTTTTTGTGCAAAGTTAAGATGCTGACAGCAACTTTTCACACTTTGCTGGCTAGCTTTACCTAGTTACAGAATAATTTACTACACTGACAAAGAGTACTGAGTATCTAATATTATTCAGGAGAAAAAAATTATTTAAATTCAAATTGCCATATTATAATTTACAGTGAATTGTATTGGCTGTCTTCAAAGAACCTTATTAAAAGCTTTAAGCAGGCTTGTCATCCCCATGACAAACTTCTCACTTTATGGATGAAGAAACTGAAGTTAAGTGATTTGCTTAGAGTCAAAGGAAATGGATATATGGAACCTGGTATTGAAAAAAGGTATTTTTTCTTAGAAAAGCTGCTAGGGCCTTACTCAGACCACTGATCCAGACCTATCCCCTCTTCCTACAGTGAGAATATGCCAATGGCACAGATAGGCTGTCTAGGGGCAATCAGGCTAATTTCAAAGAACCTATTCTTTGGTGATTGATCTCAAGACTCTTTCAAGCAACTTGATATTCTAACAAATTCTAGATGATTTGCTACTCAGTGTATTTTGTGAGATTGTGAATTGTCTCTCATGTGGCACAGAAACATTTGGGAGGCACTGGATATTATCTTAAGGTAAAGTATACTTATAAACCAGGGATTTATATCTAACATAACTATCAAAAAGGAAGAAAACCTATTGTTATCTACTGGCATTTAAACATTAGAGACGCTCAATGATTCATGTTTCCCTGGAAAACTAACATGGTTCATTAGCAGGAATGGATTTTATGCCTATAAATAGACACATTAATTTATTGTTAAGTTTTAGTAGAAGATAATTTCCATTGCATGCATTTATTTTGATATTTGTACCATTTTATTTACTTTGTATTCTCTGCCACCCCAGGACTCATGCAGAAAAATGCATTTTTATGAATATTTTGGAAATATTGTTGTATATGAAGAAAAATGGAGAAAAATGAACCGTTTAATGCTTCAGTTACATTAATAATCATTACCAGCATAGTCTAACCTGGCAACTCTGACAGTAACAGTCTTCAGCAAGAATCTATGTCTTGGATGCAAGTCTACCTCTCATACCCCTTAATGATCCTTGCATGACTAATGCGCAGTGACATTTAAGGAGCACTCATCTAAAACCGTTCATATTCATTTTAAAAATATTCATCTGTGCCATATTCACCAGCAAGAAATGCAGCTGAAAAATCATTAACCCCTTCTTCATTGGTGTTCATAGAATGTTACAGGGATTTATTCTTTCAGATCACACTTTGCTAACACGACCAACACAATACCATATAGATTAAGGAGTTTGCAACATAATCAAAGACACTATTAGAAATACAATCTTTAAAATGATGAGGAGCTTTTGGGAGGCCTATAAAATGTGGATCCCAGAGTGAAAAACAGTACAATAGAAAATAGTCTGAGGAGGACATTTAAAAATGATTAGAATAGTAACACAGTGAAAGCCCTTAAATGAAAGCAGTCTGTGGAGCTAATTAGGCTGCTGTGTGACAGTTTATCACAGAATGATTGAAAATGTCCTCAGTGTTTGCGTGAGTTAATAGAACCACCACTAGTCTCATCATGAGAGTCTTAACGTTATTTTAAGATAGTACATTTGGAAAGATTTTGCAAGTGAAATTGTTCCATTTCACTTCATTAATTTCACTACTGGTGATTTTCTTTTTAAAATTTCCAAGTCTATGTATTAAGTAGAGTTTTTCCTATATTTTTCTCTGTCTATATGGATATAATATGTGCATACATATCTTTATCTACATACTTCTATTTTTAGCTCTCCATTTGAGCTCTAGGATTGCAGAGGGGGAATAAGTACTCAATATAGAGCTTTATCTTCACCTCCTGGTGAAGAACTTTTCAGCATCTCTGTCAGATGTGAACAGCTTCCTTTTTCATGGGAAGGAAGCTCATTGCTTTTCAAAATAGCCCAGCAGATTTTTTGTCAATTAATGATTGCTATGTTCCTCCACATACTTAAATTCCACAATTCCTTCCTTTCTTCCTTCCTTCCTTCCTTCCTTCCTTCCTTCCTTCCTTCCTTCCTTCCTTCCTTCCTTCCTTCCTTTCTTTCTTTCTTTCTTTCTTTCTTTTTCTTTCTCTTTCTTTCCTTCTTTCTTTTTTTGTTTTCTCTTTCTTTCCTGAGATGGAGTTTTGCCCTTGTCTCCAGACTGGAGTGCAATGGTGTGATCTCAGCTCACCACAACCTCCATCTTATGGGTTCAAGCGATTCTCCTGCCTCAGCCTCCCTAGTAGCTGAGATTACAGGCACCTGCCACCATGCCTGGCTAATTTTTGTATTTTTAGTAGAGACAGGATTTCTCCATGTTGGCTGGGCTGCTCTCAAACTCCTAACTTTACATGATCTGCCCGTCTCAGCCTCCCAAAGTGCTGGGATCACAGGCGTGAACTGCCACCACTAATTCCGCAATTTCTATCTCCTGGTTCCCAGCAAATTTTAGGGACCTATTCAAATACTCCCTCCTTTATGTCATGTTTCTACCCAATGTACATCTCAATTTTTGAATGGTAGTACCATTATTTTAGTATATTTATTTCTTCACTCGTCCTTGATGTTCTTAATCTCAGGGCTTTGCACCATGTCTGGGGCAGTTCAGGAAATCAAGAAGCAGATGAGTGAATATTATTTTTCTGTCTGATCATGATTGTTTCTACTGCTAGCTTGTTGCGTCCAGCTGGGTCTGAATTGAACTCAACTGCTGTATGAACCTGTGACCTGCCCAAATTATACTTTGGACCAGAAACTTATTTCCCAGTCAAGTCTCCAACAGCTTGCTCTGTCCCATTTACAGTATGATGGAATCTACGGAGAAAGTTCAAGTGCCAGCTAACCAGAGATGTTACCTTCTAGCCCCAGCTTCAGGCCCTGAAAGAGTCTGACATCCTACAGACACATATTCAGGACCAACTGACATGTTAAGGGAGGTTGATAAGCTGTCAAAAGATATTCCCATTCCTGACCATATACATTTGTGCTTATTTATACATGTTTTAAGATTATGGATCTTCAAATATCCATTTTTTATTCTCTTTAAAAATACCCTCTTTTTATAAATTAGGCTCATAGCAAGGCATATGAAATATTGGTTTGCATGTTTATAGATTTTTTTTAGACATTGAGACAATAAATAACAATGTGTCCTTCTAGTACAGTGTCATATTTAGAAAGATATCTGCAGGAGGATGTGCTGACCAGTAACTGTAGTCAAGAAAGCAAGAATCAGGACAAATCAGAGGACAGTGAACATAACAGAGATAAGCTACATTACTAAAAGTCTGGATATACTGTTTTTTATGATTAAAACAAAAAATAAAGACAAGTGGGTGAGAATGAGTGAAAGCAAGAGAGAATGAGCTCATGTGCTGGATGGGAAAATATAGAAGATTTATATGAAATCTCAAGCAAAGTTTTGGAATTGAGGAGAAGAGAAGATGTGGGATCAAATCTGAAAAGTAATTTAAAGTGCAATTGTTAAAACCATGAATTTAGTGCCATGAATAGAAAGAGAAAGGCGCAGCTGGGAGGGGGAAAATGAATGAGGAGGAAGTAAATTAGTCACAGATGTGAGTACTTAGGGAATTCAATACTTGTTGATTTGCTGTTTGGAATGATGGTAGATCCACAGGTTGAGCAATCAGTATTAGGGTTCAGAGTCATGGAGGAAAGAAAGAGGTGGAGAGAAAGCTTACTTTGGAACAGTGGTTTTCAACTTTGGCTGCATACTGAAATAACCTGGGCAGCTCTAAAAAGTACTGATGTCTAGGTCTCACCCTCAGAGACTCTTAATTTAATTGCCTTGGTATGTTGCTAGTGAATTGAGTTTCAAAAGCTCTCCAGCTGATATTAATGTGCAGCTAAGATTGAAAACCTCTGCTCTAGAGTTTAAAAAGGCCAATATTGTTTTAGGAAAACAGGTGAAGAATATTAGTTAGAATTCTTCAACTTCTCAGGGTCCAAAGTATACTTGAGTGAAGAAGTGAAAACTTGTAGAGAAGAAAACAGGTTAGGACAAGAAGTTACTTAGACTTGGGCCAGCAGGTGATATCATTTTTACAAGGTGAAGATGAGAAGAAAGAAGAATGAAATAGTTAAAAGAAGCATAAACTGGACCTGAAGGCAGAATCATAATTCAAAGTTCAGGTAAGGTTCCTTTATTCATTCATTTCACAACTACTTCCTGAGTGTCTACTATATCCCTGGCACTGAGCTTGGTATTGTGGTTACAGCAGTAAATAATAAAATCATAGATCTCACAGAGCCAAAATTTTAGTGAAAAAGGAGACAGGAAAAGAGAGAGGAGAGGGGAAAAGGAGAGAAGATATGCCTTGAAAGGATTATGGGTGTGGTAAATGGCACACAGAGCTAGCTGGAATCAAATAGATGAGAAGCAAACTTTTTGAAAGAGTTGTATATCAAAGAAATCACAGTGTGAACTAGATATGTTTGTGTTCCTTGGGTCCTCAAATATCTAAAGGTAGGAAGCAGGCTCAGTGCCCAAAGGGGTGGGAGGTGAGGGTTGGGAGGGCATTTTCTCCAATGACTATTTTAGAAGTGGCCATGTTGGATGATGAAAAAGAAAGATCTTCTCCAAGGGCAGAGCCAAGGTCATGACAAACAATGGACTAGGGAATCTCTCTCCAGGAGAATTGGAGCCTAATCAAAGAACATTCTCCACCCCCAGGTAGAATTTCATAATTACAATGGAACATTGACTACTTTGGTCTTCCTCTCATTCTTTTGCTTTCTAAATGGGCATGTTTATTGCAGTTATCCTGACCCTGTTCCACTATTGTATTTTGGGTATATGTGCGGAAGTTTCTGTTTCTTTATAGTCTCCATATTAAGAGAAGCCACACTAAGATGAGAGCCCATCATATATCATCAAGAGATCCTGAACTTTGAGCTTAATACAATGCAGGTTGTCTCTCTGGAGTAGGGGTAGTTATTGGGCCTGTGGGAAAGATGGTGAATGGAATATTTGATGACTAAAGGGGCAGACTTTGTAGTCACTAGTGCCAAATATTTCTCGTTCTTTTTCTTTCTTGGTCACTCAGATTTTACGGTTGTTGGAGCATCATCTAATCTATCTTGACTCTACTTTTTTAGAGACCAAGTGAGAGATAATGTTGACCAGGAATATGATAATGGCAGTAAAAATGGAGGAAATACTCTAATTCAAGATATATGCTAGATATAAAAAAAATACAGAAATTGTTAAATGCTTGGATGTGGGAAAGAGAGGGAAGGAAGAATAAAAAATGATCACCAGGTTTTGTAGTGGTGCTGTGTACTGAGATTGGGAAGAGTGAAGGACAGGTTGAAAGGACAAAAAATACTTAGCTTTGGACATAATAATATTGAGATGTGTGTGAAATATTTAAGTAAAGATGTTAGGTAACTGAATATGTGAGTCGGGGCTCAAAGTAGAGATTCATGCTAGTTTCTGGGAGAAACATATTAATAGTATTTTCGGTCAGAATGCACACCATCCTCGAAGAGGAGAAGGGAAGTTGGGCCAAGACTGAGCATTGAGAATTACTAATATTTATAGCTTTAGTATGGGGGCTAAGGAGCCTAGAAAGGAGAGTGACAAGGAATAACCAGAGAAGCAGGAGGAAAACTCAGAATGTAAAGTCCTGCCCTCAGTGGAAGGATGAAATTGTCAACTCTGATTAATGCTCCTGAGAGGTTAAGGACAAGAAGTGTTTGCCAGAGCAGTGGGGAGCAGGAACCAGAATGAAGGGGGAATGGGAGGTGAGAAAGTGGAGGCAGCACCAGTAATGCCTCTTGAGGAATCTGGCTCCAAAGGAGGGAACAGAAAATTCTGGGATTGAGAGAGGTTTTTGCTTGTTTTTGATCTGTGATACTGCAGCATGTTTGTATAAAGATAGAACTGATGCAGCAGAGAAGGGAAAATTGCTGATGCACAAGGGGGAGAGATTGACTAGTGAAGACCTTGAGAAGGTGAGAGATAAGGTGGGAGCTTGAGCATACATTCACATTGTAGGCTTTGATAGGAGGAAGGAAGAAGAAAAAATGGGTGTGGATGCTGGTAGGTTTATAGGTTTAAGGTTGAGAATATAAAGTGGATCATTGAGTTTTTTATTTTCGAAGAGTAATGAGGTGAGTCTGTTATATGAGAGTGAGGTTGAAGTATGTATAAAATAGTTCTTGGTGAGTTAGGAAGTTATACTACTTGAGAAACATAGCAGGATTGCCAGCCAGTAGTGAGTATCTACTTAAGGTTGGTAGTCATGAATTTAAAGTAAAACCAGTCAGGTGGGTTTACTAATTTTTCTTTAGGAATGTTTGACTGCTTAACTAGGCAAGGATAAGCAATATTAACCATGAGTGTGGTGGAAGGAGAAAAGAATGAGAGAATCAAGTGTATTTTCAGAGCAGCAAATACAATATTAGACCTTGAGTATATGGACTGGATAAGGAGGGCAGTGAGTCCAGGTAGGGACTGACAGAAGGTGCAGAAAGTAAAGGGGTTAATGGATTCGAGGTTTCACTGTGGCTGGTGGAATAGGTTAGTGGGTGTACTTGAGAGACTGAATAGGAGAAATATATGTGAGTGGGAGGTTTGAAGTGAGTTTTCAGAAATGTTGCAGCTTCTGTTGATGACAAATGGGACAATGGGAGTAGGTGGCTGAGGTGGAGGGGAAGGCATTGGAGTTGAGGAGGTTGAAGAGCTGAGCAGCCGTGGTTCATCAAGTGGATGTTGATGATATTGAAAACGATGATAGGGTGGGTCTAGAAAAAATTGTGAACAAGAGTTAAAATATTCAACAAATGGTTGTGAATGAGCAGGGATTTGTCAGATGGTTGCAACAAGTATAGTGGGGATAGAGTGACACATCTGCTTAGCAGGAGCTCAAAGGATCAGAAATTTTTGTAAGAGGGAGATATAGATAAGCAACGGGAGGCAAGAAGAGCAGCCATCATGGCAGGGTGTGATCAACAAATGAAAGAGCTTTTCCTCAGGGGGGTTTCAGGGCAAGTAGTATCCAACAGACTCCTTTTAAAACAAGAGGCAAAGAAATGTTCCAAGAAGAGGATAAGAAGAGCTTACTGATTCCAGACAGGAGATCCAGAGGGCACAGTGGGAGGGTTTAGGGGAAAGGGAGAGCAGAAGTGGGAGGCTGGGTCACCTTAGGGGCTTTTTCAGCTAAGAAAGTGCATAATAATATATAACTAGGAAGAACATTTAGTGGCAAAGGAATTGGAAAAGAATCTTTTCCTGTAGTCATCTAGTATATCTGCATTCTTGTTTCACATTTGGCATCATCTTCACTTTTCTGACCCTAATTTGCTACCATCTTTCTTGTGTCCTGTCTTTTGCTATAGAAAGAAAAGCAGTTTGCCAGTATTGGCATTTCTTACCCACACTAGATGTCACTGTTGCTTGCCTCCTAATTTCAGTCCTATGGCTTATTCAATGTGACTGTTCAGTGGCAGTGATCTCTCCCGGCCACCCTTTGCCTTACCCACACAAAGACACACACACAAGATTTAATGAGACTGGTGCTTATAAAACCACTGAGGTGTTAAATAGCTTAGGGTTAAACAGAACTTCTTATGTATGTATTCTAAGAAGCTTATTAGTTTTTTTCTGCATTTAGGAATTAAAGGCTGAGTGAGAACTCAGACTGGAATTCTTAACAGAAAACACATCTATTTCCTCCTGTGAAAATATGGCATTTTATACTTAAATTCAAACTTGGTTAATGAGCTGCCCCCTCATCCTCTGTTGTTGGGAGCAGGAAGCCTGGTGTGAAATCGCACTTGGTTACCTTCATTACCTTGATGTGTGGTGAGTAAATTTCCTGTCCTGAGCCTGGTGTGGTGTTACCATATGAGGTTGTCTTCTATGGTCTGATTTAGGTGTGCAATCCTGGGTGATTTCTTAGTCCGGGGAGCGTGAGAGACCCTGCTAGCAAAGGAGAGTTCAGACTGTTATCTGGGAAACTGGCAGAGGCTACAAACAATGTATGTCCCTTGTACTGGCAGAACCAGAAGTTGCTGGGGGCTGCAGAGCATTTTCTTTCTTTCTTACTGGCAGAATCCTACTCAGGAAAGGGGAGAAACTTTCAGAAAAGGGAGTGAGGGGTGCGTGGTAGAAACCATTATCTTTTGAATCATACATTCAGTCAATTAGTCAGGTAACAAATATTTATTGAACTACCATGTGTCAAGTATTGTTTAAGGCACTGGGGACACACTGGTAAACAAACCTGAATTGGTCCTGCATGCATAGAGCTTAACTCCATTGGGGAATGGGAAAGAAATAAATATGCAGCATTTTTTTTCAGAAAACTGCTCTGCAGAAAATAAAACAGTGATGAGATAGAAAGTACTTGGGTGGTGGTGACATCTAAGAGGGGTCCTGTCTGATAGGATACAACAAGGAAATGATCTGGGGGAAGGAGGTAAGTCATGCAGAGGGAAATCTGACTTGGAAGTCCATTTGGAGAAGTCTTCAGCTTGTTCACACAATAGGCAAGGGTAAAGGCATTCAAGATGGAAGTTGAAGTACAGAGTATGTGGGACCTTGTGTGTCACATGGACGGGGCTTAGATTTTATTCTAAGTGCAGAGGCAGATGAATGAAAGTTTCGTGAGATGCATTGAGGTGATTTGATGTATGCTTTTAAAAGATCACTCAGGATGATGACTAGAGAATGGGTGGGAGCCAGTGTGAAGAGCAGGGAGATCCCTTAGGAGGCATGAGCAGTGGGGCAGGGGAGAGAATGATGGGTTGCGCTAGGTTGCTGGAGGTAAAGATTTGCGATTACTCCTTTAATGATGAGCAACTTTTATGCATTAATCTGACTTCTTATAGTCTGTAACTTGGAAGTTTCAGGATTCTTTTTCCGTGGATCAGTTCTTAGTCAAAGGTGAGGAAGGGCATGAGGAGCTAATTTTAAAGGAAAAAAGAATTCAATAGTACTTCCCTAATGGCTGTTTTCGTTGTCTAAATCATCAGCATTTTTTATTCTAGAGCAAACTTGCTAATATTATTCACAGTATAAAGTTGTTGGCTTTTTTTGTTTTTGTTTTTCTCTCATTAAATGTCACATAGAGCAGAAAACAACAATACCAGCATTACGGCACCTGGAGTTCCCTAGTGGCTGAGGCAGGGAAAGGATAGTTTCCTTTAATGAAATCCCTGAGGGACCAGGGAAGAGACAGAATGCTAATATGAGCTTCCCAACATAAATCCCAACAAATCAATATGCCGGAACCTCGGAAAAGCCGGGAGTGGTATTGGTGTGTGAGTGCAACAGACTTACCTGGCAGATGGGCCTCCATCATGTATAAGCTCTCACTGTGTGTTAGTACTGCACTCACAAATTTATATTAGCATCCCGATTAATTCTCACTTTAGCCCTGTGAACTAAATGGTATCAGCACAAACAGTTGACAGATGTGGAAGATAAGATGTAGAATGGTTAAAATCACATGGCTAGTCAGTGGCAAATCTGAACTGGAACTCTTAGTCTTAATAAATTTGCTATGTTGCCTCCCAAAATCTTTTGCTAGTTATATATTGTTAAGTTACATTTTTACTTATACAGAGATGGACATTCCTTACATAATTTTTCTTTCAATAGCTGCATTCTGTTAGTTTTAGTGACCAATCCTTTGTTGTGCCTATTATGTGACGTAACACGCCCACAATAAAAATCTTTAATTCTGACTATTCTGTCTCTGAAACAATATTTTTTATCAGATGAATCCTTAGAATTATGAGGATTTCATTATATAGAGAGATGTGTGGAAGAGTGGGTATATTTCCATCAAGTATTATTATTCATTTCATACATAGAACAAAACATATTAGAGCAGTGCCGACAACACTTTACAATAAGAAAACCCTCTACGTGTCAGTCAGGGTTCTTTGTTGCAAGCATCAGACACTGACTCTTGTTAACTTCAGCAAAAGAGAGATCTGCTGGCAGAATATCAGGAAGCTCAGTTGTTTGCGGAGAAGCCTGAAGACGCTATAAACTGGCAAAAATGCAGGCAGGTTCCTCAGCAAGAACCACAGCCAAGGTCATGCTGCAGGAACAGCCTGGTTGGGGTGCCCCGCCCAGCTCTGCTGCTGTCACACTACCCTCGGCCTCCACCCTGGGCAGCGCTGCACTTCCCGCTGCAAGATGCCTCGTGAAATGAATTCCAAACTGTCCCTGCTCCTTTCTATCACTTGCTCACAATGCAAAGTGGCAGGAAGGATCATCAGATTGGCCAAGCCTGGGTCACCTGATCTACCTGTCGGGGCAGGGAGAGGTAGTCTCTGACCCCCTTTGAATTTCAGAGAAATGAAAACTAGCCTTTCACCAAGTAGGAAAGGGTTTCAGATGCTGAACAGCTACAGAAACAGGATTAAACTGTAAAAGTAAAATATTTTTAGCCATTAAGTACTCACATGGAATTTTTAAGGTGTCATGAAAAGGCAACATAGTCTTTGAAAGAAACTACTTTTCTATAGTATAGACTTCAATTATCTCAAAATAGCTATTGAGCTGGGGAGGGTCACTTACTCTACATTTGCATGCAGATGATCTTGCTAGTCATTTGGTTTTGTGTTGAGAATTCCAATATGACATTCGGCAGTTACTGGAACAAAGACCGAGTTTGCATCTTCCTTCCATTTATTTCATTTATCTCTGATAGGCTTTGTGGGAATCGTTGTCTCTAATCCAAGCTATCAGAAAGCCTTTTACACATTCCTTCTGGCGATGCCTAATTTTCAGTGTGCTTGGAGTAATCAGTTTGCATTTTTTTATTGAGCTCCTTTAAAAGCAACTCCTCCCCACAAAGGAATGTTATGTTTCTGAATTTTATTGTTCTGCTCAGAGATTAAGCATTTGTATCACCATAATATGAAATGTATTCTGCCAGCCTATTAGTACTACAATAAAACTGATGTGACAAAGTTTTAATTCATACAATATTTATAGTGTTTATCCCTAGCTTTAAAAGCAGAGATCAGAGTACATGCAAGAGACCATATGAGATCTTTAACATAGCATGTTTATTTTATTATACTGGAATTATATCTTCATATGATAGAAGTCTAATCAAATTTGGTATGTTAAAGATGAATAAAATGGCATTATTACAAATGCAGCCAAAATAAAATTAACAGTGGTAAATGTCATGGAGACTGCAACTGTCAGCCTAAGGCATGAGAGGAACTGTAGTATAATTTTTTTAAAAAACTGCTTAAAGAAACAAACTGTTAGTCTTGTCCTAAAAGGGGCACTCAGTATAGTCTTAATATAGTGAGGCTTGATTCACAAATCATTATTCACTTGCAAAATCCATGATATTTATTTGATCCTTAAAAAATAGATATATATTATTTAACACCCCTCAGAACTTCTTCCCCAAAACATACATGAAAATCCTAAGTTCATTTTTATAGTTTAAGTATGCTGTACAAAGAATCTGAAGAGTCAGCCTCAAACAGGCTTTCTTTAAAAAAGGATCAAATTACAGTACAAATTAGAGAAAAAAATACAGGATTAATGTCTATAAAGAAGTGATTAAAAGACTCAAGCAAAGAAATTCTTAGCTGTGCGTGTTTTAGGAAGAAAAAAGTTTCATTTGAAAGAAAGTTAAAAAGGGTTAAATATTTAATACTCTTTGTGTATACTAGTTGATATACTTTGGGTATTCGTACCTATCTAAACCTCATGTTGAATTGTAATCTCCAGTGGTGGAGGTGGGGCCTTGTGGGAGGTTTTGAATCATGGGGGCAAATCTCTTCTGGCTTGGTGCTGTGTTTGTGATAGCTCTTGTGACATCCGGTCATTTAAAAATGTTCCTTCCAACCACTCTCTCTCTGACTTGTTCCTGCTTTCATCATGTGATGTGCCTGCTCCCTTCACCTTCTGCCATGATTGAAAGCTTCCTGAGAGTTCCCCAGGAGCAGATGCCACTATGATTCCAGTATAGCCTCCAGAACCGTGAGCCAATTAAACCTCTTTTCTCATAAATTATCCAGTCTCAGATATTTCTTTATAGCAGCGCAAGAACAGCCTAATACACTAGTTATTGGTTCTTAGCATAATACTAACCCTCCTCTTTTGACTACTTCTCACGTGTGAAGCACTGTGCTAAGCATTTCCATATCTTATTCAACTTAATCTTTTTTTTTTTTTTTTTGAGATGGAGTTTCATTCTTGTTGCCCAGGCTGGAGTGCAATGGTGCGTTCTTGGCTCACCACACCCTCAGCCTCCTGGGTTCAAGTGATTCTCCTGCCTCAGCCTCCTGAGTAGCTGGGATTACAGGCATGCACCAACATGCCAGGCTAATTTTTTGTATTTTTAATAGATATGGGGTTTCTCCATGTTGGTCAGGCTGGTCTTGAACTCCCGACCTCAGGTGATCTGCCCACCTTAGCCTCCCAAAGTGCTGGGATTACAGGCGTGAGCCACTGCATCCGGCCAACTTAATCTTTTAATAGCCCCATGAGGTAAATATCATTAGCACCATTTTATGGGTACAGAAACTGAGGCTTAGAAACAATGGAGCATTTGAACCTTACCTTGGCTTCAGTGTCTGTACTCTAGCCCTATGTTGCACTTCTGCCTTTGAGTATTCCACTTCCTTTAATATTGGTGAAGCAAAGCCAGGCTATGTCTTACCATGCTATTTGATATAAGAAATCATATACCAATGTTTTATACACCATGCTTATCTAGGACAGTGTCCCAGAGGCTCTCAGAAAACAGTTGAAATTATAAAGTTACTGACTTCTCCAACCTCGCAACAAACTTCTAATAATAACCCTTGGAGTTTTTCTACAGTGAAGTTTAGGTATGCATACTATCAGATTTGGGGCTGAACTTCAAAGTTATCCTGCTTAGGCAACCTCAGGAGGGAGAGGGTGGACATTTTGGTGGGCTCTTAAAATCATGACTAAAGAAAAAAGGCCTGAAGAGGTCATACTTGAGACCCTTCCCCATAGGATAAGAGGGTATTCCACCAGAGGTGCTGCACTGCTTTCTAAAATGTTAAACAAAAATTTGGCTTCCAATGAGAACACATATAACCAAATTCAATATCATTGAGAGTTGTCAGTGGAATGTGAAAAAAGAATTGATGCTAAGCTGATAGGGTTTTTTCTCCCTAATATACTTTACTCTTAACCTAGATTCTCTTAGTCTTTCTTTTCTAGTCTGCACCAGGTGCTTCTACTTCACTATAGGAATGAGTTACTTCCCTTGTTTTAACTTTCATAAAATCTTAAATATTTAGAATTGAATATTCTTATATTTGAACGAAGAATATTTGAACGACAAATATTCTTAATGAGAAAAGGCTATTTTTATAGAGGCACGATATGTCTTTTTCTCATGAAGTTTTAGAAACTTCTAGTACAAATAGTTTGTATTATATATATAATGATATACTTAGGTCATTAGCGAATCAGGGCTGGAGTTGTTACAGGGACCCCGTTATTGTATTATATTGTCTTTCATACACTCTGGTATTGTTTGAGGACATTACATTACGTCATATTACATTATTAAATTGTTTGAAAATGTTTTGAGGAGATGAAATAATCTTGCCAAGAAAAAAAGGCTGTATAAAAAAGCTTAGCACTTAAGATATCTGTATTCAAAGTTGAATGTGAACAATCACATTCACTGTTTTCCTATTTCAAATACTTCATCTGGCATGAAGCATCTGCATTACATATCAATGGCATCAGTTGAAGTTTTGTTTTGAGCCAGGGTATAGCCTGCCTGAGGAAAATTTTCTTGTTTATATTAATATAGTTGAATGTATTTCTTTATTTCAATAATGGATTAAATATTGTACCTTGTATTGGAGGGCTATTTTTGGTGGCATTTAGATTAAGCGGAGCATATATGTGTGGTGGCATCACGTTATTTTATATGGGATGATTTTGGTGCCACAATTCAAAAAAATATTTATCGAACACCTATGTTTATGCACATGACATGATACAGTGCAGGCATATGATGATAAAGCAACATTGTCGTTGCCCTACAGTAATGCATGAAACGAAGTTATTATAAATTTCTGTTTAATGGGGAATTTATTGATTACATATTCATGTTATTATCAAAATGGAGAGGTTGGACTTCTACCTAACCTGAGGATCCACAGGGTTCTCTTGGAAATCTGAGCCAAGTCTCAAAGGATTGTAAGGGGAGCTTTCTTCAACAAAGATGATTATTATGGCTCCATGCCATTTTATCATATCAATTCTGTGTAAATTAGGGGTGGTATTTTATTTGTTTTACTTACCCATTCTTTGTTCTCATTTCAATAAAATATCCAGGCACAATTGAATTAGCTTTTTCCCTGCAGAAGCACAGAATGCTGGTGACTCCTAGTGATGTTCAGTTCTCAGAACTAGTGTAAATATCCCTGTTTCAGAGCGTAACACAAGGGATAGAGAGGGGAGTTCTTTATTTTCTAAAACTGAACTTGAAAAATAGTTATCAAAGAGAGAAACCAGAAGAATATGGGTGTGGGAAGGACACTGGGCAAGACATTTCTGCCCAATACCATTCCTGTTGTTTTTTTCCAAGTTCAATCATTATAAGGATTTCTGTATTTCTTAATCTCAACTTCCTCGTAGTGCATTATTTTCCATACTATTCTTATCTCACCTGAGGGACTTTAAACCTTAAATCCATCTAAGTCTGAAAGTTGCTGAGACATGCTTATTAAATGGCCTAATTCTAGCAAGAAAAATAAATCTAGGTAATCTTGTATTTGCTCCCCTTCTCTACTGCCATTATGTTTATGTATGACAGTCTACTGCCAATAATCTATATTAAATCCATCCCTCTCACCAACCTTTTAAAATTTCTTTTTTATTAATTTATTTCTAATTGACAAATCACTTTATATATATTATATGGAATATGATGTCGTGTATACATTGATCTATGTATACATTGTAGAGTCAAACTAATTAACATTCCCATCACCTCATCAGCTTTTTGTTTGTGATGAGGACATTAAAAGGACATTAAAAATCTATTCTTTTAGCAATTTTGAAATATACAATATAATTAACTGTGGTTCCTAGGCAGTGCAATAAATTACTAAAACTTATTGCTTCAGTCTAACTGATACTTTGTACCCTTTGATCCGTATTTCTCTCCCTTTCTACAACATTGTGGTTAGGATTAAAGGAAACCAACAATAGATGGTAAAAGACTCTAGGGTAACAACAACGGTAAGCCTCTGCCACCTCTAAGCCTTAAAGTACAGGAGAAGGCAGTTACTGTAACCTGGCCACCAAACAGGACTTGTAATCTTAAGTTTAGGAATGCAACCATTGCCAAATTTTGGCGTAGAGTGAAGGAGCTATGTGAATAAGTATCCTTATTCTTTCTTTTCTGATCAACTTATTTCCTGCTATTGCTTGAGATTTACAGAGATCCGGAAAGTCTTATAATTGTAGTCTATGTAGGTAAGCGTCCTGAGATACAGAACAGAGTGGAGAAGTCAGGAGAGTAGATCTGGAGGAAATGTGAAATATTTTTCATACTCATTTGATCTTCAAAACAATCTTCAATAAGTACTATATTCGTACTATTTTTAGATGAGGAAACTGAGGCACAGAGGGGTTAAGTCACTTTTGCAGGGTCGCATAGAAAAGTGCTAAAGCTAATTGCATGTTTACTTCATTAATTTTTAAACTTTCTTCTTTACTAATACAAATGTTTATGATTATAAATAATGCTTCCAATGCATTCTACCCAATTTAATATGTAGTATGTTCATTATCTTTCAGTTGAAAATATTTTCTTATTTTCCTTGTGGTTTCTTTTTTTTATCTCCTTGATTATTTAGATATTTCTTAATATCCAAATATATGGAGATTTTAATGGTTATATTTTCATTATTGATTTCTTTTAAAGTTATTAAGATCAGAAAATGTGATGGTTATACTAGCCCTTTAAAATTTGTTGAGATGCACTCTTCATTTATCTGATGAATTTTATAATGTTCTCTGTGAGTTTGAAAACAATGTGTATTCTGCAATTGTTGGATCCAGTTATTTATATATTTTTATGTATGTAAAGCTTGTTAAGTGCACCCATTAAATATATAACTTACTGATGTAACAATAATTTTTGTTTGCTTAGGTTGACTTCTTCCTGTAATTCTTGATTGTTGCTATTTATACTTAAAAGGCTACTATATGAGTAAAGGCTTAGGATTTTTATATATTTCTGAATCTTTTATTAAATATGTAGTAATATTTTTATCTGTAATAATCCATTTTTTCCCTTCAAGTCTATTTTGTCTGATACCATTAGCGTGACACCAGTTTCTTTTGATTGATAAATCTTTTTCCATCATTTTACTTTTAATATTTCTGAATCCTATGTCTTAGATGTATATTTTATAAATTGCTTTTTAAAAAGAAATCTGACAGAATCCAATAAATTAATCATAATCTTTATTTTTTAAATTTTTTTTTGCATTTGCATTTATTGGAATTACTGATATATTTGAAATTATTTCTACAGTCATAGTTTGTGTTTTTGACTATCTTGCTTCTATGCTTCATTGTTCTCTATTCTTGCCTTCTTTTGGATTATTTTTCTTATTTAAATTTTTCTTCTGTCAGTTTGAAAATATAGGTTTTTAAATGTATTTTTAATGGTTACTCTATCAAATTTAACATGAATATTTTTTGAAGTCTAAATTTAATCAATATTTTCCATCTCTTTCAAAACAATATAATTTAATGTCTGTAAATCCAATTATTTCTCTTCTAAATATGTTTTATTGTCATGCATTGTAGTTTTATATTTTCTATCCCAGAATACATGGTTATTGTTTAATGCAGTCAATATATATTTAGATTTATTTAAATATTAACCAGTGACTTTCCTAGTTCTAGCTTAGAAATGTTTTACATTCTCAGCTTGAGGTTTTCAGATTAAATAAGTAGCATGAGTTCAAATAAAAACCATGTGAAGCCTGGATTTTGTTTACGAATTCTCAAAGGAGTTCTCCTTCACAGAGAGCCAAGGGGATTCTCTTTATGGTCATTTTTTGAGAGGCAGGTGGTTGAATGAATTATTTTAAACTCACTCTCACCTTTTCACTGAGATTGTAGTGTTTGAGGTCCAGTCCAGTTTATGAGGGAAGGACATTTCATATTCTTTTCCTTTTACTTCTCAGATTTTCCATAAGAATCACTTTCCTTTTGCCTGAGGCATATAATTTAGAGATTATTTTAGTGATGGTCCACTGGTGAGCAAACCATCAGGTTTTCATTGCATAGAAATATATTGTGTTATCTTTTTCTTAAAAGATATTTTTACTTGGTATAGAATTTAGATAAAGAATTTTTTTTCAACACATTGAAAATATTCCACTTGCATCTGGCTTGCACTGGTACCACTGAAAATCTGCTGTCAGTATAATTGTTGTTTCTTTAAAGGTAAACCTATCATTTTCTTCTGTTTTAAGATATTCTTTGTTTTATTAGTTGTAGTTTTGTAGTGATTTGCTTAGGGAAATTTTTTATTCATCTTGCTTGATAGTTTTCAAAACATAGACAATTTAACTGATGAAAATTTTTAGACCTTATTCTCTCTTCTATATGTCTTAACATTTCATTTATGTTTTTCACATCTTTGTTTTTTTCTGCTGCAGTTTTCAGATCTAACTTACTGTTAAATAAAACTTTATTAAATTCACTATTTGAGTTTCAACTTTAATTGTTATATTTTTATTTCCAAAAATTGCTTGGTTACTTTTCAAATATGGCTGGCCATTTTTAGTTTCTTGATCTTTATACTATTGATCCTTCCTATTTTAAAAAACATAAACATTTATTTTATAGTTTGATAGTTGAATATTTTAAACTGTTTGTCTGTCTGATTCTGTTTTCTTTTTTTTCTACTAAGTGACATATTTCTGTGTTTTGTAATTTTGACTGAGTAAATATTTCTTGGAGCATGAGACCTAGAATAAAGTTAAGTTTATACAAAGAAGATTTGCATTGTCTTCTACTAATTCAAGTCTAGAAATGTTTTACATTCTCAACTTGAGGTTTTCAGATTAAATAAGTAGCATAAGTAGCATGAGTTAATGTAAAACCCATGTGAAGCCTGGCTTTTGTTTATAAATTCTCAAGGGAGTTCTCCTTCAACAGGAGCCAAGGTGTTTTTCTTTGTAGTCTTTTTTTTTAGAGGTGGGTGGTCGGATGAATTATTTTATGCTCGCTCTCACCTTTCCACTGAGATTGCAGTTCTTTGAGGTCCAGTTTTATGAGGGAAGGGCTTTTCATATTCTGTAAGTTAGGAGACCTTGGACTTCCCCCACCCCCATATAACCCCTGACAGGTTCCAAAGTCATAAAAACGGAAGTAAAAATGTATCAGAATTTGGCAAATGCTCACAAGGTGAAAGCCAATTTCAATGCTTCCCATGTCTTTTTGGTTTTTTGCCTTAACTCAGTATTTCTTATTTTCTTGCCAACTCATACATAAATTTAAGCTTTTTAAAAGACATTTGATTCAATATTTACTCTTCTGTTTTTCTAGGAGTTTCACTCAAGGGACTTAGGTCACATATTCTGGAACATGAGTTGGCAATATCACTGACTAATGGGGAATCTTGATACAAGTATTTCAGAGTGTTGGTAGACGATTCGGTAGTAGTGTAAGGAGGGAATGGACAACAAGGCTATTTGGTGGTAGGGAAATGAGGTGGCTGCTATTCTATATCTACACCCATCCCAGTTCCCTTCCTTCTTTCTTCTATTCACAGAGTCCAAATCTCAATACTCTACCAAGATGGGAGCCACAGTATCTACAATTTTAGTCTTTATTTATTATAGATTTAAACACTATAGGCATCACAGAGTTCAAGGAAACCAAATTCTATTCTGTTAAAGTTTCAGAGCCAAGTAATAAATATTCTTTTTATGATTTATCAATTTCACTGATTACTAAAATACTGCAATATTTTCCCCCAACATTCCATTATTTATTTTATTATATTCTTATAATACCTTGTGACCTCACTGTCAATCTTGGGTCTCTTGGGACTAAACTGGCCTTTTTGGAAGCAGTTCAACCTCTGACAAGTGATGCCATTTCCAGATATGTAGATTCAGCATAGTTGAATGGAACAGGCAGCCCAGCGGGAGCAGCAGCAAACCGTAAAATCCACAATTTTTAAGTGTCAGGATAAGTATTTCATGGACTCATCCTGTTACTGTAAAATCAGATCAACTGGGAACATATATTCCAGCCAAATTTTGACAGGTGCAGCTACTGCCGTGGCTCTGCTATTCTTTCTCTAATCTGCCCATCTGCTCTCAGGATTCCTCTGATTCTCTTTGAAATATTTAATCTTCCACTTTCCTTATCCTCAAATACTCCACTTTGTCCTTTAAGACAAGGTCCACACAAACAAGTCAAAGCAGAGAGGAGCAGAGCTATTATCTGTAATTAGAGCAGTAAAGGCAACCAGTCTAAATAATTTCATCTTCCAAATTGGTTTTCTTGGCTATATTAGTCTAATTTTTTAATATTCTCTGCATTTTTAAAGGATTTTTCTGTCTGTACATAAGCAAGTAAGATAGCTAGTTGTTAGTAATGGATAAAATGTTGAAATGGATTCATTCATACAAAAGATTTTCATGAGCCTCTGGTAAATGTTAAACACTATTTTTTTCATGGCAGTTCACAAAACATTCCTTGTTTTCAAGAGCTTACAAAATGTAATATTTTTAGTGATATCTTCATTAGTATTAAATTTTGGCATGAATCATTTTGTTTACTTTTTAATAAAGATCAGAAGAAAAAGTTGTCACATTTCTGGTTATGTTGTGTGCCTTGTAGACTAGACTAGAAATAGCTCACAAGCTGTATAAAAATAGGAAGTGGGCTGGATTTGGCCCATGGGCCAGAATTTGCTAATCTTTGCCTTAGAACAATCAAATAAAAATGATTTATTATTTTCATTTTTCAGAAAGAACTAGGAGAACTTAGGTCAAAGTAGCAGAGCTTTGAATATATTTCTAGAATTCTTTCTCATATTTCTCAAAATCCTATGTGACTCTCCTTTTCTCTGTTGTGCAAGTTTCTAGGAGAGGCCGGCATAAAAGTTACAGTGTTGAATGAAAAATTGGGAGAGTTTGGGACTCATGAGGCTGGTACCCCCTACCTGCTCCCTGAAAGCATATATGGTTAGCCTGATTCCATTCCCGATTCTGAGAAAAATAATAAAATGGATCAGGTGTGTCTCCCACCCTTTCTCTTCTTAGTCATAGTCCCTTAGGGTCATAGATTCTTCACACACTTCCTAATATCCTGGGAAACCCATACTCAAGGAGGAATCCGATATAGTTATACTACATTGTTAATGATGATGCTAGAGATATTATCCTAACCAAGGATTTGCATTTTGACTGGGGGCAATGCCCTGTGCCAAAATATTTAATATCTTCTTGCTATTTCAGTCATCTATGAATAATACAGATGAGGATAATATTTTTGAGGTTCTGATAAACAGATGTCCATTTTCGTATCTGTCCATGAAGGTGACTTTAAGTCAATGTTTCTGAATTTTAAAGTATTACTCACTTTACTGTCAGTCTTACCCATCTTATGAGTGTCTTTTATTTTTTAATCACTAAAAGAGGAAGATAGGGACTAAATATTTTTATATGTAAATGTTTAAATGAAATAACATTTTATATTTTAGTATGCATCATATTTGCTAGTTTTATACCACAGTGCAGTAAATTTGTATTTGTGACATATTCATAAGGTTTATAGAAGTGCAACCAAAAAGACAGCAATATCAATGATTCACACAATATCGAGAAATATGGCTTAGACATTTTGTAACATTTTCTTTCAGTGTCAAGAGCAGATAATACGTGAAAATATGTTGGCAGAGAATAGTATGTATACACACAGGTGCTTGAGTGTGTATAAAAAGAAAAAAAAAGTGTATCAGTTATTTATTTTTGGTAACAGGCTATCCTAAGACCTACTGACTAAGGTAACAGCCATTTATATGCTGATGATTCTGTTATTTGGGCTGTGTTCAGCTGGTGGTTCTTCTGTTGATATTGCCTGTAGTCACTCCTGTGTCTATAGTCCTCTTATGGTTCAACTGGAGCTGGATAGTCCACAATAACATTACTTACGTGTCTGAGAGTTATCTGTAGATATTAGCCAATGTGCCTGTGTTCTCCATGTAGTTTCTCCAGCAGGATACTACCAAGGTTATGGTAGTATTCCAAAAGAACATCCCCCTCAATGTGTTAGTATCTTTCAGGCCTCTACTTGTGTCATATTTGCTTACATCCTACTGCCAAAGCAAGGCATGCTCCACACTTAAAGTCACTGTGAGAGAGAACTACACAAAGATGTGGATACAAGAAGATGTGACACACTAGGAGTGTTATTATGGCCAGAAGATCCCTATCTAAAATAGTTTGTTTAAAGTTGATTTCTTTTTTTACTATTACAGAACAAATACATTCATAATCTATATTACATAACTCTATATAGCTGATTTCAAATACTACTATGTTTAATATTTTGTGTTAGGACAATTTAAATAATTTCAATTGTTTTTATAAGATGTTGTGACCTTGCATGGGGGTGAGGGAACATGCAGTGAAGGTACATTTCAGTTCAGAGGCAATACCACCAATGCTTTATAGTACTTAAGAGAATTTCGGTTAAAAACATAGACTTTAATTGCCAACTCTCCCATTTGTTATCTTGGGCAAATTCTGAACCTATGTAAGTCTCAATTTCCTCAACTAAGGTAGTTGATAATAAGAGTGTGGAGGACATTATGGATTGCATGAAAGTGTTTCTCCCAGTGACTGCCTCATATTAAACCATGAAAAATATGATCTACTACTATTAAGTAGAAGTACAGAAAATTTTCTCTGTGTACTCTTCCTAGATATTTCAATGACTCTTTATCTAAATATTAGCTAGCTCAGCCTTTTCCTTATTAATTTAAAACTCATTGAAATTTTGTGATATATTATATGGAGTTACCACTACCACAAAAGGGAACAGACAGTATTCCCAGTTGGCCTCATCTTCAACTGGATCTTCTGGCTTGAATACACGTCACTTTCCTTCTGAAATGAATACTTTCACTCCCTCCTGAAATAAGTTTATATTAATTGGGAATCAAAAATATTTCGTAGTTATTTGTGCATTTCTATTTCTATCTATCCTACCTTTTGTAAAGCCTAAGGTGGCAGATTTAGTAAAAACAACTGAGTATTTGAGATCAGAGAGATCTGCATGGAAATTTCATCTCTGTCACTTATAACTGCATGACTCACAGTTTCAATTTCTCATCTGTAAAATGGATGGTTCTGAGAATTCAAAGAAATAATGTTTGTAAATTGTCCAGTACATATAGCCAGGTTGAATAAACAGGAGCCCTTGTAATAAATGTAAAGGTACTTTTGCAGGATTATATGGATTCATTGTCTAATCACAGTCTAAAAAACAAGCGTTATGACATCTTAGTGTATAAGAATATTTCTGCTGCCAAAGCTATCACTGTAAATTTTAATCAAACATTCCAGATAACTGTGATTACTTTGCATTTCTGTGTCAAGATTGCCTTAGGACATATCCAAGAACAAATAGCCTACTGTCTGATGGAAATATGGAAACAGACTTTGGAACACTAGCATGCAGCTAGCTCACCATGACTGTTTCTGAAACACTGCAAACTACTTCAAAAACCATAAAAGACAGAAGGAAACATCAGGGAATATTTATGGAAAATAATCAAGAGAAGATAAATTAATTAGCTTTAGAAACTTCCTATAATAATTTTCAACTTTTATGCCTTTCCAAATGAATATATTATTTTTAGAATTTCAAGAAAAACTATATATCGTAAGACAAATATCTGAGCACAAATTGAACAAAACCTCATCTTTTCCCCCACCCCAAATACATGGTCTGGTTATGTTTAGCCTATTTGAAAGTGACATTAACTCTTTAAAGCCTTCAGGTTACTATTTAGTAAACAATATCTTCATTCCAATTAATGTTATCTTAGTAGACCAATAGCATTCATGATCTTTCAAGAAATATCAGGATTTTGGAGGGTCATGATGTGTTGGGGGTTGAAAGACAAAATATCTACCTAACCAACTCATTTCGAGTTTCTTGTCTCCCTTTATTTCCAAGGTAGCTGATCTAGGAATGCAGCCTGAAGAAATCAGCACCTCCTAGATACAGAATGAACAGAAGGGCTCAGAAGAAATATGAGGACAAATAGGTAAGCTAAGGACTGGCATAAGAGACCAGATCCCTGGAGTCTTATATTCTACCACAAGAAGATAGATGATCAACAGTAAACTTACTAATTAAATTATTACATAGCATGTTAGAAGACTGCATGCAACTGTAAACTAAAAAGGAAAGGCAGGCAAGGGGGATCTAGAATGCTGGGTGGCAAGAAGGGGGAAGGTTGCAAAATTAAATAGATTGATCAAGGTAGGCTTTATTGAGAAGGCAAGCAAAGACTTAAAGGAGGTGAGGAAACCAACTAAATAGGTATCTAGGGACAGAGAGGTCCAGAGAGAAGGAGCAGTAAGTACAAAGTCCCTAAGGAGGGCTGTGCTCAGCGAGTTCAGGGATCAGCAGGGAGGCCAGTGTGGCTGGAGCAGAGTGACTGAGGAATTGGTGGTAAAAGAAAGGGTCAGATGGCCAGCAGGGAGCTGTGCCATGTAGAGTTTATGGGCCATTCTAAAGGTTTGGCTTTTACTGTGTGAGGTTTTACTCTGTTGCAAGGTTTGGAAGAAAGTCACAGTGCAGAACTTAGGTTTCTAAAAGATCAATCTGTCTGCTGAATTGGGAAAAAAATTATGGTGACGAGGTAAGGGAGATGAGGGTAGAAGTCCATAAACCAATTAGGAAGCATCTGCAGTAATCCTGGCAAGAGATGGTGGTGAT